>NC_000006.12:65034624-65337654 GCF_000001405.40 Homo sapiens
TCTTCCATAATTGTAAGATTTCTGAGGCCTCCTTAGAAGCTGAGCAGGTGCCAGCCCCATGCTTTCTACTAATCATGCATAATTGTGAGCTAGTTAAACTTTTCTTCTTTATAAATTACCCAGTCTCAGATATTTATTTATAGCAATATAAAAATAGCCTAACACTAGCTACTACAATTCCTACTGAAACTATTCCAAAAAATTTGAGGAGAAAGGACCCCTTTCTAACTCATTCTATGAGGCCAGCATTATTCCTTTACCGATACCTCACAAAGAAACAACAAAAAAAGAAAAATTTAGACCGATATCTCTGAATAACATAGATTCAAAAATACTCAAAAAAGTATTACCAAACCCAATTTAGTACCACATCAAAGAGCTAATCCACCACAGTCAAGTAGGCCATATTCCTGGGATGCATGGTTTGTTCAACATATGCCAATCAATACATGGAATTCATCACATAAACAACACTATAAACAAAACCCACATGATCATCTCAATAGATACAGAAAAGGCTTTCAATAACACTCATCGTCACTTCATGTTAAAAACCCTCAACACACTAGGCAATGAAGGAATATACTTCAAAATACTAAGATCCATCTATGACAAACACACATCATACTGAACAGGCTGGAAGCATTCTCCTTGGGAACCAGAACAAGACAAGGATACCTACACTAACTACTCATATTGAACATAGCACCGGAAGTCCTAGTCAGAGCAATCAGTCAAGAGAAGGACATAAAAGGCATCCAAATAGGAAGAGAGGAAGTCACCATGATATGATTGTATATACAGAAAATTCCATAGTCTCTACCCAAAAGCTCCTAGATCTGATAAACAACTTCAGTAAAGTTTCAGGATACAAAATCAATGTACAAAAATCACTAGTATTTTTATACACCAATGATGTCCAAACTGAGAACCACATTAAGAATGCAATTGGGTTCACAATAGCCATACACAAAAAAAACTAGAAATACAGCTAAACAGGGTTGTTAAAAATTTCTACAATGAGAATTTCAAAACACTGCTCAAAGATATCAGAAATGACACACACAAATGGAAAAATGTTCCATGCTCATGAATTGGAAGAATCGTTGTTAAAATGGCCATACTGACCAAAGCAATTTACAGATTCCAATGCTCTGTCAAACTAGCGATGACATTTTTCACAGAATTGCTTTGGCTATCCAGGCTCTTTTCTGGTTCCATATAAACTACTAATAATTTGTATTATTAATAATTTGTTTGTAATATATATTATATATTTTTATATTATAGTGTTATATATTATATATTACATAGTAATATATAATAATTTATTAATAAGTACTTTATTAATAAACTATTAATAATTTATATGGAACCAAAAAGAGCCTGGATAGCCAAAGCAATCCTTAGCACAAAGAATAAAGCCAGAGGCATCACAGTATCAGAATTTGAACCATACAACAAGGCTACATTAACCAAAACAGCAGGCACTGGTACAATAACAAACACATAGACCAATGGCATAGAATACAGCATCCAGAAATAGAGCGGCACACCTAAAACCATCTGATTTTCAACAAAGTCAAGAAAAAGAAGAAATGAAGAAAGGACTCCCTATTCAATAAACGGTGCTGAGATAACTAGCTAGCTATACGCAGAAGACTGAAACTTGACCCCTTACCTTTCACCATATACAAAAATCAACTAAAGATGTATTAAACCCATAAATGTATCACCTAAAACTATAACAATCCTAGAAAAAAAACTAGGAAATACCATTCTGAAAATAGGCCATGGGAAAGAAAATATTTTCATTATGATGCCAAAAGCAATTGTACAAAACCAAAAACTGACAAATGGCACTTAATTAAAGAGGAAACTTTCAACCAGATAAACAGATACCCTAAAAAACGGGAGTAAATACTTGCAAACTATGCATCTAACAAATATCTAATATCCAGAATCTGTAAGGAACTTAAACAAATTAGTAAGCCAAAAAAAAAACAAAAAAACACCATTGAAAAATGGGCAAAGGACATGAACATTTGTCAGAAGGTGACATACACATGACTAAATCTATAAAAAAAAGTTCATCACTATTCATTAGATAAATGCAAATCAAAACCACATTGAGATACCATCTCATACCCACTCAGAATGGCTATCCTTAAAAGTAAAAAAATAACAGATGTCGGTGAGGTTGTGGGGAAAAGGGAATATTTATACACTGCTGGTGGGAATATAAGTTAGTCCTGCCGTGGTTAAAAGCAGTTTGGAGACTTCTCAAAGAACTTAAAACAGAATTATCATTTGACCCAGCAATGCCAGTACTGGGTATATACCCAAAGGAATATAAATTGTTCTACCATAAATATGCATGCACATGTATGTTCATTGCAGCACTATTCCTAATAGCAAAGTCATGGAATCTATCTAAATGCCTATCAATGGTGGAGTGAATAAAGAAAATGTGGTACAAATACACCATGGAATATTAAGCTGACATAAAATTGAATGAGATCATATTCTTTGTAGCAATATGGAAGGAGCTGGAGGCCATTATCTTAATTGAATTAATGCAAGAACAGGAAACCAACTACTGCACATTCTTACTTCTAAGTGGGAGCTAAGCGTTGAGTACACACAGATGCAAATAAGAGAACATTGATAAGAGGACCTACTTGAAGGTCAAGGGTGGGAGGAGGGCAAGGATCAAAAAACTACCTATCAGGTACTAAGCTTATTGCCTCAGTGATGAAATAATCTATCTGTACACCAAACCTCCATGACACACAATTTTCGCACGTTATATACCTGCACATGTACCTTCTGAACTTAAAATAAAAACTGGAAAGAAAAAAGACCTATATGATAACTTTCACTTAATAAAAAGTAAATGTATTTTCTCTTCCGTATGATTTTCTTAGTGTTTTTTCTTTTCTCTAGGTTACTTTATTCATTGTAACAATACGATATTTATACCTATAACATACAAAATACACATATGTGTTAATCAACTGTTAATGTTATGGGTAAGGCTCCCAGTCAAGAGTTTGTTATTAGTTGTTAAGATTTAAGGAGTCGAATTTATACATAAATTTTCAACTGTGTAGTTTTAGCACCCTTAGTTCCCACATTGTTCAAGAGTCAACTCTATACAATCTTATCCAATCATCCAAAGTGTTAGGAATATTCTAGTATCATATGTAAATACATGCATGTACATATATTTATATTTATGTTTCTATGCCTGTGTATTAAAAAACATGAGTTTATACTCATATCTCCAATTTATAAACAATACCTCAGGGTGCCTTTTACTTCTCCTTTCCGTATTAGCAGTTCCTCCTCCAACAGTGAGAAACCTAGCTTCATTAATTTCAACAATATCTACAAATTTGCTCAAGTCAAGAATGCATGGCAAAAAGGTTTAGAATCACTAACCAAAACCACTAATAATTAATAATTAAACAAATCTAATAAGAAAACAATTTATCATCCTGTTCTTAGCTAAAATGTACACATAAGTGCATAATCCTAAACGTATGTAGATTAGATGGGTTTTAAAAATGCATACAGTTTTAAAACTCACATTTTTTAAAGATATAATACATTTTCATAAACAGAAAATTCCTTCTGTCCCCTTCCCAATCAACACTGTTACTTGGGGTAACAATTTTTTTAATGTTTTTCCTTATTTTTGAAATAAAAAGTGAAATCTTATAATAGGTCCCTTTTCTTTTATCTTTTGTTTAGCATAATATTTGAGAGAGTCTTATGTCAGTAGTTTGATCCTTCCTTCACTGAGTAATAGTCCATTGTACATACATATCACTAGGTCCTTATTTATTTTCATGTTGACAGATATTTTTTTGTTTCCAAATCTGGGTTACAATCAATAAAACTGCTATAAACATGCTTGTAAATGACTTTTTATAGAACAATATTTTCATTTCACTTGTTTATATAAATTGTTATTCTTAGCATAGGTGTATGTTTAATTTTAAATATAATCTGCAAAATGTTTTTCAAATTTTTTAAACTTTCATTTGATTCCCTATCAACAATTTTATCTTTTTACCAACAGTGTGTGAGACTTTGAGTTACTTCACATTTTCAATAATTTTTTTATTAACTTTAGTCTCTGGAGGAGTATTCACTTTTGGTTAGTTTTACATTTTTCTGATGATTAATCATAAGAATTTTTTACTTATCTTTCAATGAAAATATTTTCTCCAGTTATTTGCACACCGTTTTAGTGTTTTGTTTTATATTAGTGAATTATAAGCGCTGTCTGGATATATTCTGCTTTATGTCCTGGGTATGTGTTTGTAAGTATTTTCTCTCATGCTTATTCATTTTCTAAATAGTATCATTGGTGAGCAAAAATTTTAAATTTGGTTAGTCTAAATTATCATTTTTTCTTTAATGATTATTGCTTATTTTACATGTTCTAATACAAAAATTCCTACTCCTTGATAACAAAGAACTTCTACATTTTCTCCTTCATAGTTTTAGGTTTTACATAGAGAATGATGATCATCTAAAATTAGTGTCTTTGTGTATGATGTGAGGTAGAAGTCAATGTCATTTTTTCCGTATGAATATCTACCATTTCCACCATCATTTTTTAAAAGGCTTTTATTTTCTTATTGAATTGCTTTGGATATTTTGTTGAAAATAAATTAATTGTATAAGTGTGGTTCTATTTCTGAAATTTTTCACTTTCATTGATCAAACCGTCTTTTTATTTTTCAAATTAAACACTTTCTTAAGCTGTAAAATCAGATGGTACAATTTGTCAACTTTTTCTTGTATTTAATAGACTTATTGGCCATTATATGTTTATACATTTCTATATCTTAAAACACATGTCAATTTTTAAAAAAAACTACTTGCATTAGAAGAGGGATTACATTGAATCTATGAATTATCTTAACCACATTTATTCTTCCAGTATGTGATGTGATTACATTTTTCCATTCTTATATATTTAATTTCTCTTCGCAATGTTTTGTATTTTTCTGCATATTTTCCTTTTTAAAAATATTAACCATAAATATTTTATGGTTTTGCAGATTTTATAAAAAGATATTTTAGAAAGTTTAATTTATAATCTCAACCTAAGTCTTATGCTATGATGGAGGAAGACTTTTGGTATCTTAGTAAAAAAGGGTGTATTTTGCATGTAAGTGGAATATAAATAATCATTGCTAGATAGCAAAATGTAGTAAAAAGTAAATGGATAAATAGACAAACAAGAAAATAAATAAATAAAATAAATATTACCTCATTTTTGAATCTGGATGGACTCTGAAATGTTTGCACGATAGAATCTTGCAGAAGTGTTACTTTGCCAATTTTGGCCCACGGATCTTAAGAGACTTGCACTTTCTGATTCTTTCCTCTTAAAATAGTTGCTCCTTACCAGGTTCTCAACTTCACCATTAATGACACTTTTATCAGATAATTTTTAGTTGTATGAGACTTCGTTACTCATTGTAAGATGTATACAGAATCCCTGACCTCTACCTTGTATTTGTGAGGCTACGCCAAAAAATGGGTTGTGAAAACAACAAAAATTTATTGTTTCACAGTTCTAAAAGCTAGACATCCAAGACTAAGGTCTTGGTAAAGTTGATTCCTTCTGACAACTATGAGAGAGAATCTCTTCCATGTTCCTCCCATGTTTTCCAGTGCTTTGTTGATAATGTCTGTCATTCGATGGCTTGTAGAAGCATCACCCCAATCACTGCTTTCATCTTCATATGGAGGTCTCCCTGTGTGTCTGTGCCTAAATTTTCCTTTTTGATAAGGACATCAGTCATATTAGATTAGAAACCTATCCTACTCAAGTATGACTTCTCCTTAACTAATTACATATATTTGAGATGACTTTATTTACAAATAACATTACATTGTGATATGACCTCACTGAGGGTTAGAACTTTAAAATGTGAATTTTTGGAGGAAAAATTTAGCACATAGTATACTCACTTGATGCCTCTTTTATTCCTCCAGTCCTGACAACCATAAATGTCTCTAGGCTTTGCCAAATGTCTCCTGGAAAGGCAAAGTCATTTCTAGCTTAGAACCAATGTTCTAAAAAAATTTGATTACCCCCAGGTTGCCATGTTGTAAGGAAGCCCAAGCTAGTCATACAGAAAACTACATGGACAGAAGAGTGTTTGACCAATCCCAGCTGATCAAGTGGGATGATAAGTGGTCATTTTTAGATATTATGTAACACAGCTCAATCTCTGGCCACAATAACTAAGATGCTCAATAAGGAAATTAAACTCTTTTCTACCTATAAATATCTTATCACACTGGAATTCACTTAAAATCTAGAATAGCATTATTTAGATTAAGTCTGGATGTAGATTGCAGAATTGTAGATGAGGCTACTTTACTACAGTTTCTCTGTTTTCACTTTTGGGTACAGTTTTTCTTGATTCAGAGACTTACAAATTTAAGACGAGTTATCTGCTCATCCATATTCTCAATATGAAAAGTTAAGCAGAGACAGAAATACTACAACAGATAAACATTCTTAAAAAAGGAGAGAAGAAGAAAGGTATATAGCACAGATCAGTCCATAGTACTTCTGTGACCCTTCCTCTGCAAGCCATAAGTCGTGGCTCACGTTGCAGGTGAATAATTTTCTTAGCCAGCTTCCTGCCAGACACACAAATCTCTCAGAATTATGTTCTCTCTACCATGAGGTAAGAGTTAAGATATGTCCTCATGATTTAAAAATATATTTATCTACCTGAGGGGTCTACATTCCTCTGCCTTAGATGATTCTTAACAAAGGGTTTAAAAACCATGCACCCTTGATCTTGACCTGAACCCTACTTTTACTGGTAATGTCCTGGATTCAATAATGGCTCTGAGTCTATTTTGAAAACTTTTTACCAGCTGGAAGTCTGAAAATAAGAATCTTATTTATTTTCCAACACAGTACTCCTGTGTTAAAAATATTTTTTCTAAATTTTGGTTAAAAACAGTCCCATCGTCAACTCATCTCTTATTTCCTGTTTTATCATAGGCCAGTAAATGAAGCTATTTGGTAACTTCCACATTTTGTCCTGAAATCTTAGCCTAGTTAATAAGGTCATGCTGTATATTTTCTATCTTTCACATTGGCACAAGCAACAGTGATCCCAGTATTTGGTCAATATATAATACAGTTTCCATTTCTCCAGCTCCAGTACAAATTTCCTCACTGATCTTACAGACATCATTAAAATTTTCTGTTTTTGCAACCTCTTTCCAAAATAGTCTCAATGGCACAAAACTGTTTTATTTATGGTAGCATCTCACTTCTAGGTACTAATTTCTGTTTCAATTGTCTCTATCTGTAACAAACAACTGACTTAGAGACTTAACAAATAAAAACCTATTATTATTTCTCATGAATCTGCATATTGTATGCATGGTTCTGCTGCTCCACATTTTGTTGACTGGAGTTACTGATCAACTGACCCCTTCAGTATTATGATAATCATTTTTACTTCTGGTCTGGGATCTATTTGTTCTAATATGAATATAGATCATCACATTTTTATGCCTTTTTTTGAACAGTATATCTGTCTTTCTTGCAACTTATCTATGTCTTTATATTTACCTGCATTTCTTGTAGATTGAATAAAGCTGGGCCTTGATTTTTTTATCCAGATGAATAATCTATACCTCGGTTGGATTTTTGTCTAGTTCATTGACATTTTATGGAATTATTTTGATCATTGAATTTATGTTTACCATTTGCTTTTTGTAATTTGGCCTATTGTTTTTTGTTGTAATTTTCTTGCTTTCATTTCTGTTTTATTTTGGTTAAATATTTTTATTATTTCATTGATATAGCCATCCCTTTTTAAATTTTTTTTTACTTGTTGCTCTTTGGAATGCCTTTTGCATAATCCATTTAAATTTGCACTACTACACATATAAGAATTTTACACCAGTATGGTTCAATTTATCACATTTGCTATATTATTGTCATATTTGTTATGTTTATTATTTATAAATCCACCATTCAGCATTATAACATTTGTCTTAAACAGTTGCATGTGTTTTAAAAAATAAAAATTTTGTATATTCTAGTGTATGTGCCTACATATTTTTCATTTTCAAAGACTTCATGTCTTTCTGTAAGTTTCCACTTGGTGCTATTTCCCTTTATGCTGAAGAAATTCTTTAAGATTTTATTAGCTTAATATTTATTTTATTAAAATTATTATATATATGTTTACGAGATACTTTAAAACTACACATTTGGCTAACATTTTAATTTATTTCTGTTGGGAAGCACTGGCCTCGGTTATGTCTATGTAAACGTGAATGTGTATTAAATTTCCTGAGGGTCATGTGAAAATTCAATTTCTGATTCTATAGGACCGGGATGGCCTGAAAATCTAGATATCTTTTGATTTTATTCTACATTTTAAAATTACTGTGATTTTTTGTTAAATCATAACTGTATACATCATGGGGTACAATGTGATGTTTTGATATACGTATACAAAGTTCAATGATTAAATTGAGCTAATTAATATATCTATTACTTCATTTATCATTTTTTATGGGGAGAAATTTGAAAGTTACTCTTATTTTGAAATATACACATGTAGTAAGTGTTTAAAGCAAATTTTATAAGGGTGAATTGTGATGCTTATAAATAACATAACTAAGTGTAATAAATATGACAATAGTACAGCAAATGAAGTAAATGGGACTATACTGGTATATTATTTTTATATCAGTGTGTCATAGTACAAATGAACTCTAAATGGAGTATGTTAATGGTAATCTAAAGTACTTTATTATTCACTGTAGTTACACTGCTATGTAATAGATTTCAAATCTTATGCCTCTTTTTGAAGCTTTGTACCCTTTTATCAACAATTCCTAATTCCCTCCTGCGCCCCTCCTCCAGTCTCTGGTAAGCATTATTTTGCTCTCTGCTACTATGAGTTTAACGTTTTTAGATTTCATATGTAAGTGAGATTATTTGGTACTTTTCTTTCAGTGTCTGGATTATTTTATTTAACATAATGTTCTCCCTATAGGTTAATCAATGTTGTCACAAAAGTTCTTTTTCAATAATATTTCATTTATGCATATATATATATGACATTTTATTTATCCATTCTTCCATTGACAGACACTTAGGTTGATTCCATCTCCTGACTATTGTGAATAATGCTGCAATGATGTGGGCATGCAAATATCCCTTCAACATACAGATTTCACATCCTTTGCATACATACCCAGAAATGGAATTATTTGATCATATGCTAGTTATATTTTTTAGTTTTTTGAGGAATCTCCGTACCATTTTTCATGATGGTTTTACTAATTTACATTCTCAGAATGTGTAAGTTCCCTTTTTCCTGCATCCTCAACAAAACTTATTATTTTTCACCTTTTGATAATAATAAGAGCCATGCTAAGAGGAGTAAAGTGATATTTCGTTGTGGTTTTTATAATATTTGTATTTCCCTCATGCTTAGTGATACTGAGCATTTTTAAATGTATCTGTTTGCCATTTTTATGTCTGCTTTTGAGAAACGTCTGTTCAGATCCTTTGCCTATTTTTCAACCAGGTTGTGTGTTTTTTGTTATAGAGTTGTTTTTGTTCCTTATATATTTTGGATATTAATTCCTTATCATATGTACGGTTTGAAAATAATGTTTTCCTTTCTGTGGGTTGTCCTCATTTTGTTTGCTTTGCCATGCAGAAGCTTTTTACCTTGATTTCATCCCATTTGTCTAATTTTGCCTTTGTTGCCTGTGCTTTTGGAGTCATATACAAAATATCCTTGCCCAATCCAATTTTGTGGAGATTTTCCCCTATATTTTCTTCTAGTAATTTTACTATAGTGAAAATATTCTGAGGATGAAGTCTCTCTAGTAATAATTATATTCTTGACATCGTGCTGATATGTTGCATTGTCTCTGGATTCTGTTTTCTTCCTTTAAGCAATGATGTTATTTATTACAGAATGATGTTATCACATCTGAACTCAAATGCCATACCCCACCTCAATGTATTTGGAAGCAGCCACAACCACTCAGCTCCTCATACTTTCAGTGGTTGCTTCCACTGGGGAAAATTGAGATTCCCTATGTGTGTGTCATTCAGGCATTAACAAAGGATTTGTGCAATTTGTATTTTGGTACCCTTCCTTATGTGGTGTCCTTTCTTGAATTCCCCAGCCCCTTCACTTTTCTGCCATTCTGGGAGCCTCAAATTGTCCTGTGACTCTTCTACACTTAAAATTGCAGCTTTCTCCTATTGTTTTCACTGCCCATACATATCAGACTGAAGGTAGCCCTCAGGTGAAAAGCAATAGAAATACACATTTTACTCAGCAGAGCTTCTTTCTTTCAAAGCTTGACTCCTCTTTAATTTCTGTCTGCTTCTGGTAACTCTTTAGTGCCTTAAAACAGTTGTTTTCATGATCTGTTTAGAGTTCACAATTGTCATCTGAAGAATGGTTTGTCTATATGCTATTCCACCATTGCCAGAAGCCTCCAGGATTACTGTTTGCCTTTTTGTGTGTGTGCTCTCCTAAGTCCACAATATCTTAGATTTCTGAACACTCTGATCTTTGACAAAATACAATTTTCATAGTGCAATGTTTTCTAAATCATTTATTTCCATTTAACTCTGTGCTTCTCACTTGAATCAACCTCCCACTGTGATAGTTTTCCAAAACCTTGCCATTGTATCCTGCTATAGTCTGAATGCTTGTAACACTCCACAGCCCCGAATTTTTATGTTGAAATCTGATTTCCAATGTGAAAGTTTTGGAGATGGAGTCTTTGGGGGCATGATGACATTCTGAGAGGGAAAACCTCTCGAATAATTTCTGAGGTGTATAAGAAATTCGAGTCCTTATAAAAGAGACTACAGTCCTTATAGAAGAGATCCTTCATCCCTTCTGCCATGTCAGGTTACAGTGAGAAGATAACCACATATGAGGAAGTGAGCTGGTACCAGACACCAAAACTGTTTGTGCCTTGATGCTTGACTTTGCAGCCTCCAGAACCATGACAAATATGTTTGTTGTTTATAAGCCACTTAGTCTATGGAATTTAAGATATGGACTCTGAAATATTTGCTAAGAGGTTTAATTGTCCTAGAGGGTTTGGCTCAAGAACAGCTGTAGAATGGCTAGGGATGTAGCTGGTAGATGTAGATGTGTTTAGAATTTAACAATTAGGGTTAAACAGCTAGGGATGTAGTTGGTAGATTTGTTATAGCACTGCAAACAAACTCACCCTTTTGTTATTAACAACCTTTCTTATATTATTTATTGAATATACTTTTACCTTATTGCTTCATTAAAACCTGTTTCATTATTATTGCATCATATTCCTTTTGTCCCTCTTAAGCAACAGTTTTTTTCTATATCAATAAAACTTCAGACTCAAGAGGTGGGATTACATTCCCCTGGTTATTCATTGACACAAAGAACCTATTAATTTCTCTTTATTTCCTCAATTCTGGACTACTCCAACTTTTTAATTCTATGCAACTCCTCTTAGGCTACAGAGCACCAATAGAGAAAAATCACACAAGTTTGAAGACTGATGTCAAGAAATGTGTGAACTGGACTTCAATAGTGCCTAAATTTTTATAATGGAAGACTCTTCCAGGGAAAAGAGACAGAACCTCAGTAGAATCAACATTGGTACAGTGATAAATTTATTAGCTCAAGTAGCAAATCATGAGAGTAGAAGTGCATTCGGCTCAGGTACATTAGGGACTATAACTTTGCCATATCTGTTTGTCTTTTTATAGCTTTCCTTATTATTATTATGATTCTATCCTTCTATGAACTTTTTTCTTCCAACTTGAGGACTTCCTTTTGCCAGTAATTGTAAATTCATGTTTCATATGGTCAATGTCAAATAAAGTCTGAGCAACATTTTCCCAAATTCTTCATTCAAGATTCCAAGAATAATTTTTGATGTGGTTGAGGGTAGATATTAACTCTAGTCAAACTAGCAACTCCTAAAGAAAAATGTGGTTAGGAAAATCATTTTCAAGTGAAATAGACACTATCACCAGCATACAGGAAAATGTATATTCATTTAAATGTGAAAAGTTTTATACTCTCTGATATGGTTTGGCTATGTGTTCCCACCCAAAACTCTTGTTGAATTCTCAAAGTTGGGGAGGAACCTGGTGGAAGGTGTTTGTATTATGGGGGCAGATGCCCCATAAATGGCTTTCGTCACCCCTTTGTGATAAGTGAGCTCTCATTTTGAGTTCATGGGAGATCTGGTCATTTAAAAGTGTATGGCACCTTCGCCCCTGCCCCACTCTCTCTATCCTCTTGCCATGCAATGTGAAGTTGTGCTTGCTTCCCCTTCACCTTCTGCTGTGATTCTAAGTTTTCTGAGGCCTCTGCAGCCATCCCTCCTGTACAGCCTGCGGAACTATGAGTCAATTAAACCTCTTTTTTTTTTTTTATAAACTACCCAGTCTCAGGTAATTCTTTATAGCATTTTGAGAATAGATTAATATACTTTCCTTGAATTATAAATTGTTATTTTTCTAGTCAGTCACAGAATATAACCATACCTCCAAATTCCAGAGAACATGGATTTCATCAAATAACTCCCTCAAATTTCTACCAGTAAAACCTCTAGTCTTACCTATATCTCCATCCATACTTTGTATTTGGTTACTTTATTACCAAAGAACGACAGATTCATCACTGTTGATCTTGACAAAGTCCAATTTATTAATTTTTCCATTTCTGGATCCTGTTTTTTGTTTCAAATCTAAGAATTCTTTGAATAGCTCTAAGTCCCAAATATTTTCTCTTATGTTTTATTCTAAAAGATTTATGATTATATGTTTCACATTTAAATCTATGACCATTTATATTTAAGATGACATTTAATGTTATCACCAGATTTGTAGATTACCATCATACCACATTCCACTGCCCTCTCTGTTAATTATCTTCTCTACCTCCTGAAGTTGTAGTTTCTACTTCTGGTCTAACATCTTCCTATGCACACATTAGGATTACTAAGTGTGATTGGATCCTAGCAGGCAAGAGATGATGCAATTGAACTCAGAAATGTGTGGGGAATTTAATAAGGGACTACTTACAAAGTGCGGCAGAGCATGTGAAAACCACCAGAAATAGAATGAGGTCTTTTCTGCCACCCAGGAGCTGAGTGGAGGTAGCTGAGTGGATGGTGCTAGAACCTAAGGCAGAGGAGCTGTGTGGAGACCACTGCCTTAGGGAAGATAACCTGATCAGTGGAGGGGCATAGCCAGCTTGAGGCAAAACACAGAGGGAAATGAGGTGATAAATGTATTTGCATCTGTCTCTTCCTTTCCTCTTATTTCATATTGGGGCTCCCATTTGCCAAACTCAAAAGAAAGCATGGAAAATACAGGTCATGTAGTGTAGCTTCTTGGACACTGAGTAGATCTGAAAGGGTTAATGGAAGATAGCCATAGTCTCTTAAGCCCCATAACATTTTGATAAACAAATCTTGCTTTTGTCTCACGTTCCCCCTATTTAGCCTCGTTTCTCCTTACCACTTTTCTACCAAATATTTTCAAGAAGGAATCTAGTTTTACTATTGCCACTTTTTCATTTCATCTGTACAGTCCCAAATATATCATCATCAATGACTAAACTCCACTGAAAACTCTTCTTGTGAAGGTTACCAAGGCCACTTTAGTAATAGTTCTCTGGACCATTTTCACACCAAATCACATTGGACTGTCCAATCCTATTTAGGACTTTCTTACTACTTCTTCCTAATTGGAACTCTCCCATCTTTTGTGTTCATCTTTGGCTTCTCATTGTGTGTTCCTTTCCCGATCCAGCCTTTATATTTTAGTATTTCTTAGTAACCAATCCTATGAAAAAACTTGACCATTCCATATATACTTCTTTTTGACTGGTGATTTATAAAACGATAGTCCTTCTAGAACTTTCTCCTATGCTTCAGATGCACATACTAGGATTATTTAAAGGAAACCTTGATTTTAATAATTTACAATCTGACAGATTCAGTATGCTTGAAGCTCTCCTGATCTCCCTCTTCATTAAATGTGCTTCTTCCACTCCTGTTTCCCTAAAGCAACAATCCATTTATCCGACCTAGGAAACTGAACATCATTTTCTTTTTTTCTTACTTTACACATCTGAACACCACAACATTCTAACCTATTTTGTCTGTAACCTAAATATCTCCTGAAATTATCCAATTACCTAACTCAAGCCCTGTTTCCATACCTCTACAATAGACCACAGCTTGATTTCTGCAAGCAGTTAATTTTTTCTTTCCAGTGTGCCATAAGTAGATTTTAGGTGCCTTGTCACAAAAAGAAAAGTAACCACATGAGATGATAGATGTGTTAATCTGCTTCGCTATAGTAACCATTTTACTATCTATATGTATCCCATAAATCATGTTGTAAATCTCAAATACACAAAAGAAAATTAATTCAAAAGAAGAAAAAAATCAAATTCTACTTTATAATTTAGAATAATCTCCCCAAATTTATGTTTAATTTTCCCCAGATTAATGACTTCGCATTGCCCCTAATATTCCTTGGGTGACAGTTCTGGTTTGAATTCTGTTGAAAACTCCAGCTTCATGTTCTCAGAGTAATTTTAGCTAAACTGAATGTCTTTGAGGTCTTTGAATTCCCACAGGTTCTTTTGCCTCTGCTCCCTATTTTATTTAAATTTATTCCAGGAACATGTATAATACGAGGATATGCATGGCAGTTTAGCACTTATCAATATATACTTCTTTCAATTTAAAGGGAAAAGACCATTTTTCACATGCTGGGAAATAGGTAGTTGACACATTTGAATAGATTTGAACAACCTGAAAAGCATATATAGTGAAAAAGTTTAAAAGTTGAGGACAGAATGCTGAATAATATCACAGTTTAAGGGTGAGTATTGTGCTGGAAATGAAGAAAGGTACCCATTTAGAAAACAATAGCGTTGTTATTACTTTCCAATTTTTCAAAGCTTTCAGACCATTATGAATTCAATGCAAACAACCCTTCTCTGTGATTTTTAACTTAATTATAATTTTGTCTCATTGTTAGAGTGTCAGGAGTACATTTTCTCCTTTTGACAATGCAAATAAAAATGATTAGTATAAAACGTACGGTATAGTTAAACATTTCTCTAAGTTTACCAGACCTGTCATCCTATTGTTGCACATAATAGGTAACTCAGCTGGGATGGGCCGTACATTAACTTGTTGATAAAACCATATAATATGTTTATACTTATGGTCAATTACAGTACTTTTTCACTTGATATGCTAACTTTACAGAAAATATAGTCAAATATAATTACCCACCCAAATGGAGCAGTCAATAGGTTATAAAGGAAGAAGGAATAATAGGTCTGGTCCATTAACATGAAATAAAATTAAAATAGTAGAATTAAATACATGTTTGGCCAAGATATTAAAGAGCTTTGAATCTAAAATAAAAATAAGAGAAAGGAATAAAAGAAGCAAAAAAATATTTTGTTTTAAATGGTAGATAGAAATATTCACATCTTTCACTCAGGTTCCCTATATGCTTGCTGCCAAAATAACCTTAGCATGTTAGCACTTACAACGAACTAAAGGTAAGGATTTAATCACCAGGAAGAAGAACACAATACTGCTAATAAAAACCAATATTTGCTCCATATTTACTGTTTAATTGCTAGACAGAACAAATGAAAGACAAAATTAACTTCAACTATTTAACGAATCGTTTATTTTTTTTCTATTGGATTAATAACTTATTATGGACTCAGTATTTTACAGTTCATTCAATTTATTTGACCACTCCTCCAAAATAATACTCATATTGTCATTTTCATTAAAGAAATTTAACTGACTTTTGGTTAATATTCTAAATTGATCTGGACTTGACTTTAATACATTTCCAGAACATTAGAGATGGTTGTTTGGGTAGCCCAGCCAAAATATTTTATACTCCAAGAATCTTTAGTATAGCTGTAGATTGAGTAGACTGGAGCATTTAATTACAGCATCTGTAGATCCCCATTGTAGCTTGACACAAGAATGACTGAATATGGCCTGTGAAGGCTGAAAAACTAATTGCTCCATTATCTGCACTCCAGTCTTTTTCACTTCACAAGCACTTAAAAATATATACTTAAATCTGCTTTCTAATTACAAGTTCCCATAACAGAGTGTCCCTATCCAGAAAACAGCATTATTACTCTGGCTTTCAACACACTTAAGCATTTTTATTTTGCTGAGTTTTGTTCTTCTTTGTTTACTTTCTTTTGTAAACATGTTTAATGGCTAATTACCATTTCAGCTTTTTATATTAATTACTACACATTTAGAGACATGTGTCTTTAAATCTCTAGCAGATAAGACATTTGCTTTGCTCAAACATTATTTTCATTTTACTTGTCTATACGTAGCTTTAGCAGAATGACATTCTTATTAAGTACTTACTTTCTTGAGAATCAAGCAATAATTTATGACAAAGCCTTATCTTTTTTGCATTAGCTACTGAAAACTTTTATATTTTAGAACAAAAGAGTAACAACTTATTTCTCAGCATCAATATATGACAGAAATATAAGGACAATTGTTTTAACAGTGATATATGCAACATTATTTTCCCCCAGAACTCCTTCATTTAATGAAATTCAATATGTGCAGGTTTCATTTTATGAATTATAAAGTCATCAACAATTTAGTTTGATGCCAGTAAATTCACATTTAAAAATCTGAATTGTGCATCATACTTTATTTTTAAATTGACAAATTAAAAATGTATATATGTAGCATTCAATGTGATGTTTTGATACATGTATACATTATGGAATGGCTAAATCAAGTTAATGAACACATGTATTACCTCACACACATTTTGAGGTGGTGAGAACACAAAATCTAATCTGTAAGTAATTTTTAAGTATATAATACATTGTTTTAAACTATAGTCATCATGTTGTACAGGGCATCTTGAATTAAATAAATTCTCCTAACTGAAATTTTGTATCCTTTTACCAATACCTCCTCTTGGATGAACCTGGAGGACATCATGTTAAGCCAGGCACAAAGAGACAAATACCGCATGATCCCACTTATGTGTGGAATCTAAAAAAAGATAAAGTCATAGAATCAGAGAGTTGAATCATACCTTTCTGTAGGTACTAGCATTAACTTCATATAGATTACAGTATCACTGATATATTAATAGGCAATATTAATATTAATAGGCAATTTGAGTATTGTGGTCTTTTCTACCCACTAAGAAAGCAGCCCTATTCCTGAAATGCACTTTGCTTCTTTAAATACTTCATTGGTAAGTAAGACACTTCCTCAATTTTGTCAGGAACAACATTTACATGGTAGGCAGTTATCTTCTCTTTACTTCCATTATATTTCATGGACATTAGTTTTAGAATTTAAAACTGCTGATTGGGTAAGGGTTGCCTTATTGGTTAGCACTGATTATAATATATTTTAAGGAAATAGTTATAACTATGTGAAAAAATAGCATTTTTCACATACCCAACCCCATTTAGTTCTGGGGGAAAGATGAGTAAGTGTGCTTAATCCCAGGTGTGTGTGTTTTTATGTGTGTGTGCATTTATGTATGTGCTTAATAATTACTTTTCTTATGTAGAAAGAAAATTTATACTTTGAGGCAGTATTTAATCTCATTTACTTTACACTCAAAACATAAAATCCCCTACTTAATACATTTTGTATATCAAGACAAATTTATACAAAATTCATTTTTGGAAGTGCTGGGCATAGAGGGCTTTTAATAAAGAGTGCCTCAGAAAGCCATCATTGGCCATGACAATAGACACGTTAATGACAACAGTGCTTATTAGGAATGACTTCCTCATATCTTTTTGTTTTAATTAAAATAGAAAATTGTGGTATCCGAACATGGAAAATATGTATGCAGTCTGGATCCTGCTTTGCTACATGAAAAGCATGAGGTTTTGTTCAGGTATATTATAATAATTATATCAGGGAAAGTGAAAACTCATTTTTACATATTAAAATTTTTGTTCATTTCTGAAGAAAAATTAAGTCCACAGTAACAGAAAACCAAATAATACCCTTTCCTTCAAAAAGAAATACGTATTTGAAATTTATTTGCTAAGTTCAGTTTCTAAGACTAGAATTTGAAAGGGAGCCAGATTAAATCAAAGCCAACCACTTACGCCAGTGGATGAACACTTCATGGAAAAAGAATTGTATTAAGGGATTTATTTTCCACATTTATTTGTTTTTTAAAAAATGAAGAAAAAAGATTCTACAGATATCAAAAAATATACAGCATTAATAACATTTTGTATGAAAGCTATGCTATTTTTGGAGGATCTGTAATTTTAGTACTAGAAACTAACATGCATAAAAACACTGCATTATTCAGCTCTGCAGAAGTAATTACACCAAGATTTTTCTAATTATTTTCTATTGTTCCCATAAATGGACTATATAATCACAATTCCCTTTTCGGACAAATACCTTTTTCCAGTATGTGCTTTAAAAAGTTATAACTGGTAATAAAACGTAACTTCTATAAATGGCAAAATGTTTGAACTAGGGTAAATTCTCAGAAAAACACTCAAATTCTCAGAAAAACACTCAAGGTGCCATATCTTACAATTTCATGTATTTGCTAAACAGTCACTGTACATATTCTTTACATTTTCAAACAAATTCATAAATGCATAAACTCATAAAGTTATGTATTATTATTATGCTACACATTTTACTCAAAATGAAACAGTTATGAATCTAACCTAGTACAATGGGGTAAGAGTCATCTACTTCTTATATAAAAAAGATAGACATCATTTTATCAAAATATATGTTCATGCAAATAAGCATCTAATAGACAAAACTTGGACTATATCAACAGAAAGCCACAATTAGCTCAAAAAATAGGTTATAGGTTATAGTTTGATCATTTTCTACACCAGGGGCCAGCAAATGTTTTCTATAGAGGACCAGATAGTAAATAATTTAGGATTTGCAAGCAAAGAGAACATATACTCTGTACTTGCGTCTGAAGCAGCCATCCACCATACATAAATGAATGAGTATAGTCGTGTTTTTGAGAGGCACAAAACAGGTAAAGGCCTGGATATTCTCCCACAGGACATATTTTGCTAACCTGTATCTATTGAATTCCAAACAAGTAAAGTTATCAAATTAGTGAATCAACTAAAAATTTACCAACTTAATCTTGTGATTTTAATGTGTCATTCTGGAGTTACATTGTTTATGTGTACTATTTTTCTTTCTTTGGGAAAAAGACTGTGAAATCACTAACAGGCTCAGAGCGAATTTAATCAGAAAACAAAGAGTTTCTAAGTTTTACAAATAGAAATTATTTGAGCTTTTTGCATAGAAACTGAACTCATAGATGGATTATATATACACTTTTTCAAAAATTGTATTTATTCATAACAATAAAAAATTCAATTCTAGTGAGGTATTCAAGGAAAGTCTTTCCTATTAGCATTCAAAGGTTAATTCTTAACAATGCTGGTTGCTGTAAAGAACAAAGTACCTTAACCTTAGTGGTGTAGCACAATAACAACTCATAAATTAATTTGTTTATCTCTCAGTATAATAGGGGTATTCCTGGTCTGTGAACATCTTTTCATATAAGAATTAGGGACCTATACTCTTCCATCTTCTGGCTTTTCTCTAGTTTTTCAGGCAACTCCAAGAAGAATGTAGAAGAAATGAAAAAGTTAAAAACTGTGAGATATTTTTATGAACCACATTGCAAGATAAAAACTACTATTGATTTTCTGTTGGTCAGAATTCATTCACGTGGTCTCATCTACATACAAGATAATTAAGCCTGTGCCTAGTAGCAAAAGAAAAAGATAAACATGTAGCCATCTTCTGATATACCAGACATGTTTCCAGCTGAAAGATGTATAAGAATATAAACTGAATTAGAATGTATTTATGTCTAGGATAGGGTGTCTACAGTATAAATTTATGTGATGTGATTTCCAGAAAAATATTATACATTATTAGGTATGTGCATTTTAAAATAATTTAACCTTGTTTTTGCTTTTTTGTTTTATGTATGTACAGTTCCATTGAACGTGTTAATGTACCATATAAAGCTAAGGCACTACCATTAACTGAAGAATCCTTTTCACTATAATTCATAGATTAAAATATTTAGTATTTAGTATATGAAGGTTAAAATATTTATGATTACCTAACATTTCTATTCATGCTTTGCAAATTCTGTTTTGTTTTAATGGAAAATATTTTGGTTTGGTTTTGGTTTTAGGTTTTCTTTTGTTACTGTTTTTTATTTGTTTATTGTATAAATGGGGTCTCACTTTGTCACTCAGGCTGGGCTGCAGTGGCACAATAATAATTCACAGAAGCCTCAACCTTATGGGGTCAACCAATCCTCCTGCTTCAGCCTCCTGAGTAGCTAGGACCACAAGCATGCCACCACAACTGGCTCATTTTTCCTTTCTATTTCTTAGAGACAGGGATTTGCTATGTTGGCCACGCTGGTCTAGAACTTCTGGCTTCAAGCAATCCTTTTGCCTCAACCTCTCAATGTGCAGGGGCTACAGGTGTGAGCCACTATGTCCAGCCTAATGTAAAATATTTTGAATCAGAAATTATTTGCAATTGTTTATTTGTAAATTAAACTTTTATTTTAGAGTAGTTTTAGATTTACAGAACAGTTGCAAGGATAGTACAGAGAGGTCCTGTATACTCCATAACAAGTTTCCCCTGTATTAATATCCTATGCTACTATGGTACATTTGTCACAACAAATGAACCAATATTGATGTTATTAACTAATGTCTGTACTTTATTTGTATTTCCTTAGTTTTAAGCTGATGTCTTTTTTTCTGTTCCAATATCTCTTCCAAGATACCATATTACTTTTAGAAGTAATATTTCCTTAGGCTTCTCTTGGCTTTGAAAGTTTCTCAGACTTTTCTTGCTTTTGATGACCTTAACAGATTTGAGAAATTCTAGTCAAGTATTTTTTAGAATGTCTGTCAATTGGGATTTGTCTGATAATTTTTTGATGACTAGACTCAGAAAATGTACTTTTGAAAGGAAGATGAGAGACAAAAAGTGCCATTCTCATCATTTCATATCAAAAGTTTAGGTTATTAACACGGCTGTGTATGTTGATGTTAACCTTGGTCCTGTAGCTCAGGTAGCAATTGTCAGACTTCTCCACTGTAAAGCTGCTCTTCCCTCCATGACCCCCTTTTTACATGCCATACTCTTTGAAAGCCAGTCACTATCTGCTGTCCAAATTTAAGGGATGGGGAGTTTTGTTCCACTTCATTAAGTTCAAAGTACCTACATAAATTATTTGGGATTATTGTACAAAAAGATGCATCTATTACTTCTCATTTATTCATTCAACCATACATTTCCATTAGTATGGACTCTTACATATTTATATTTTGGGTACCAGCCAATATTCCTTTATTTTGGTGCTCAAATCATTCTAGCTTTGATCATTGGGAGCTCCTTCCATTGGCTCGCTTTGACTTAATCTCAGACTTTTGTGTTTAAGTACTTCCACATTTTCTGGCATTACAATATTATTCATGCTATATTTCATGCTTTAGTCCTAAAATAGCTAGATCTCTAAGGAGATTTGATTTTTTAAATTGAAGAATGTATGAAAATCCAAAATCTGGGCAGTAGAAAAACAGCTATTTTTTAAATGAAGTCTACCAGCCTGGGCAACACAGTGAAACCCTGTCTCTACAAAAATACAAAAACTACCCTGATATGCTGGCATGCACCTGTAGTCCTATCTACTCAGGGGACTAAGGGGAGGATCACTTAAGCCCAGGAGGCAGAGGCTGCAGTGAGCTACGATAGCACCACTGCACCCCAACCTTGTTGACAGAGTGAGATCCTCTCTCAAAAAATAAAAAATGAAGTCTAATATTTTTACCGAGATTACTTAGGCCATTCCCTCTGTATCTTTAAAGATGTATGATTAAATAAGTATGAATTGATATCCCACCTGCCCAAGCATGATAAAATAGTGTCTATTATATAAATATTACATATTTGTTAGAACATTGTTGGAAATTATAATTAAACAATTATTATTAATTTTTGGCAGACATTGTGGTATTTAAATAACATTTCTCATTTAAATTACATTCAACTAAATGAGCTAGATATATTCTTATTGTCATTTAACAGTGAGAAAGTTATAACTTAATGTGTTTAAATGGATGTAAAAATATTTGAAGTGAGGCAAACAATCTTACATTTTTCATAAGTAATTATAAGATACCTTTTTAAGGTAAATAGGTATAACATTAAAAAAAATCTAAATTAATTTTATTTAGTTGAACAGTTTCAAATTTCTTAGCTTAGAAAGAGATACTAAAGTTCAAGGAAGTACTCAATGAATTAGTATCTATATACTAGTTGCAATAATATATTAACATATTTATAAGGCAAAGCAAGGATTTGTTTAGTTTATGGAGAAAAAATACAATTCCTGAACTGAAGTTGAAGAAATACCATCAAAGTTGAACACTGAAAAATTAAACAGATGATTAGCTTAGAAAGAAGAAGAGAAAACTTGACAATTTCATAAGAAATTAAATAATACAGAAGAATATTTCAAATATAACATGCTAGGCTGGTAATATATTCCTTCCTTACTTTTTTATTGTATCTTTTGGTTTCATTGGTGACCTTTCAAATAGAAAAATAAGAAACTCAACTATTTTAGTGTGTATGTAAACAAAACTAATTTCACTCTAGTTTCTGCCTAAGGAATAATTGGTTGGTCACTTTAGAAGCTGACTTTAAGAAAATGAAGGACTAATAATGTTGTTGGAAGACTGAAATGAGTTCAGACAAGAGACAGAAGTGCTTTTTAAAGTTAATTATGTTTGCTTTTCCTTATCCCTTGGTGTTCATTACCTTTAAATGGAGGCACACACTGGCAGAAGTAATTACCAGGTTGGTCAATGCAGGTGGCTCCATTTTTGCAGGGATGTGAAGCACACTCATCTATATCAATTTCACATTGCGTACCTTTGGAAAATAGGAAAAAAAAATGTTAAGTGTTAACAAGACAGGCATGTATCAAGTCGTAATTCTTAAATTTGCACAAGCCTTTAATCCACTTAGGATGACATCTGAAACCAAATTTATTAGATAAGAATGCCACATATATTACTATCAGAACCCATTTATTTCACCTTGCTACAAACTGTAGTAACTTCTCTTAGAATTACTAAAAGGACACTAATCTCTTCTGAGTTTGTAGGCATGCAAAGTCTCTTTAGATGTGAACTAATTTATCTTTTGCTAGAGAGTCTAGAGATGGTGCAGATATTTCAGGTTACTGAAATGCAGATCAAATGTTAGGTGAAAGGAAATAAAAAAGGAACGAAAAGAAAATATTGGTGAATCAATAACATCCTGATGTATGTCCCTGAGGGCTGAATGTTATTTGTTCATTTGTTTGTTTTGGAGAGGGAATCTCGCTCCGTCTCCCAGGCTGTAGTGCAGTGGTGCGATCTTGGATCACTGCAACCTCTGCCTCCCGGGTTCAAGAAATTATCCAGTCTCAGCCTCCTGAGTAGCTGGAATTACAGGCACACACCACCATGCCAGGCTAATCTTTGTATTTTCAGTAGAGACAGGGCTTCACCATATTGGTCAGGCTGTTCTCGAAATCCTGACTTCAGGAGATCCACCCACTTTGGCCTCCCAAAGCGCAGGAATTACAGACATGGGCCACTGAGCCTGGCCCTAAATGTTCTTTATAAGGCACAGTTATTGAGTACTATTTACTAATAAAGCCATGAGTAATGGGTAGATGCATTTCAATCTACTCATGATCTTTGTAGATATAATATTATGGTGCCAGGGTGATGAATTACTTTTTTTCTAGTAATTTTACAACGTAAGCCTATATGGAAAGAAAACAAATAAATGTCCATTAACTATATAGTCTTAGCATTTTCTTTAAACTGTTGTCCAATTCATATTTTCATTCATCCTCCACCTAGAACTTGTTTTGCTAAAGCTGACCTTTCTTATTATACCACTTAGATTGCTTAATTTCCCAACAGTTGAAAATCATAGCCTCAACTGACACTGAATTGATTTTTATCACTTATGACAGCTAATTTTCTTACCAATTTATAACAATAATAGAAAATTGACATTGACACAATGCAAATTATTAGCAAATTATTTGAATGGAAACATTCCTTCTTTTTTTAAAAAAATTCTGTAAAACAGTAACATGAATTTAGAAAGAAGAAAACCTACATCAAATTAATCTAATAGGAATCAACGTACTGGACTAAATAGAAAATATCACTATTATCACTGACAAAATGAAATATTTAGTGAATACCTGACACTAGAACATCAGGGTAAGCTGAGAAAAAAAGTGAATATTAAAAAGAATTATGTGAGTGAATGAAAACTTTTTAAACCTTAAATATATTAGTTTTTTTAATGAGATAATTTAATTTTGTGGAAATTGAGAACCCTACTGTCAAAGCAAAAGTTTAACCAGAAAAAAAGTTAAACAATCAGGAAAGATTTTATTGAAGGCTATTGCAATCAAGGAGAGAAGCCAAAAATCAGTCTGAGTTTGACTCCATTGTAACAATGGTTGAGAGTTTTTAAGAGCTGGGGTAAGAGAGCTCATAGGTCATATGCATTTGCTATTTAGCCTTAACAAAAAGAAAATTAGATTTGTTTTTCAATCTTCAAGTTAGGAGGTAGTATTACAACTTGGATCAAGGTGCATACCAAAGTTAGTCTCCTACCCTCCTACAGAGACTGGGAGATTACATATGCTATCTTCCTTACACTTCAAAGGGATGGCTCCCAGGTCCTTGAGAAAGATAGTCTTGGGTTCCTAAATGAACAAGAGGCTTTTAAAGATATTTATACCCCAAAGAGGCAAAGAAAGAATTTATAATTATTGGGTTCTGAAGTAAATTCTCTAAGAAAATGAAGGGGAGGAACTTCTGTGGTTAGATCATTTAGATCCTGTAAAGAGGTAACAAGAGAAGCACCTCAGGAAGAAACCTGTTTAAGTTTAGTCACACTGAGGGAAACCTGTTTGTCTTGTGACAAATACACTTTGTGGAGATTCCTACAGTCCTCAAGTTCCCAAAGACTGGAAGGAGGAAAGAAATAATGAAATATTAATTTATAATATTAACATGATACTCTTCTAAATTTCTGGTGAAGTTGGAGAAACATGGGTCACATTCCTGCACACAGGGGAATCAATCACCCTGTCCCTCTCTAGGTTACTATTCTTAAATATGTCTCTGTGTCTTCTGATCCCAGCTTCCCCTTATCAACCTGAATGTCACACTGCCATGAGCTTGTATTTCTAAAAGACAAATGTGATGAAATAGCTAACAATTTCAGCCTTCAATTTCTTTCCACCCCTCATCCGTATTTCCCAAACTAATCTATTAGAGCAATCCTAACTAATGAGGATAAAGAATTTATGATCTTAGACATCAGGAGGGTTTGACAAGACACCTACAAGGAAGACTTTTTTTTTTTTTCAAATTTGACACTTTAAATTCATGCAAATCTTGGATTTTGCATCATATTTTATCCTCATTAATATATAACACATTCTATAACACAATACGTATACACCCATAGGGAAACTTGACAGTCCAAGATGATTCTACAATCACTGTTGTGACTTTCATGAAGCTTTAAATTCATCCCCTAAAGTACAGTGCTTTAGCAGGAGAAATACAAATTTAGAGGATGATGTAAAAAACTCACAGCATACTTTACAGGAACATCATGGTCTGTACCTAGCCTTCCTTCTTGGTCTTCTCTCTCTTATCCTTCCCTGTTTCTTGTTCACCCTCTTACCCAAGTAACCACAATGAATTTTTAAATGCCTGTGATTTTGCCTGGGAATACCTGGTTTCCTTTTAAAACCTGGATCATCTCAGGTATCCTCTGCCTATTCTTTCTGGGTACAGGTTAGCACAACACTTTTCTAGTGTTTACACCTTCTTCTGCAGTCAGTTGCATATATAAATACATATATATATATGTGTATATACATGTGTATATATATGTGTATATATATATATATATATACACACACATACATATATATGTAATTTCTTTAAAATGTATGCTTATGAAAATATTTTCTAGTATCCATGGCTCTTAGAATAGCTACTGTCTGATATTAGTGCTCAAAAACCATTTGTTAAATGAATGAAAAATTAACAGACTAAATGCAGAAAAATGCCAATGATACTGTATCTGTAAAGGACAGGTAATCATTTTCAATCCTGTTTAGGACAAATCATTAACAAAATAATAAAATTCCAAATGATGTAATAAATATCATAAAGATTGCCAGAAACAGATTTTGCGACTGACTCTTCAATTTCAGAGTGTGTTCCACATGATTTGGCAACAATAGGCCACATTTAAGGTGTACATGTATATAATTTTAGAGCTTTTATTGCCAAAATGTAGATTGAATTTAAATGAGATTTCAATTTGATTCAGTGAGCTGTAGTAAAATTTCCACTTATTTGACAAATAAATTAATAAGCATAAGTAGTTTGAACACATTCAATAAAATAGCATTCATGTATCCTTTTCAAAAGTTTCTGGGCAGACAAATTAAACAATCAAGCATTCTACATCTCATTATTTTAAAATAGACTTTAATTTTTAAATAGTTTTAGGTTCACAGCAATATTAAGCAGAGGGTACAAAGATTTCCCATATACTCACTCCACACATGCGTAATCTCTCCCATTATCGACATCCCCCACCAGACTGGAGACATTTGTGACAACTGATGAACGTACATTGACTATCAGACACTTCATTTTAAAATAAGTTTCATGTGTTAATTTCTAAATAATCATATTTTTTCTTCCTCATGTATTTCTAGGTCTATGTTTCAATTCCACCTAACACACACACATACACACACACACATATACATTTAAATTAGTTTTCCTTTTAATTGTTTAACTGAATTTTAATCTGTTACTTAATGATATTTACTTCCATCATATTCCTCAATTGCTTGCACCATCTGGGCTAAATCACACTGTGATCGTTTTCTCCTCATAGGAACCATCATGTAGGAATCATCCATTGACCAAAAAGCAATCCAAATAATTAGAGTTCTGTTTCATGCATAGTATCTCAAACATTCTATGCTTTCTTTACTCTGGGTTTTCTGTTTCTTCTTACTCTTTATTTTTTTGTGGTCTGTCCTAAATCCTGAATTTGCTTCCTGTTTTCTCCTGTCCATTGGATGTCACCTTTATTTTTGTTTATTCATTCTTTCATTTGAAATTATATTTTTCTACCTATTCATGTAATTGAAACCATCAACTGATTTACAGAAACCTCAACCGTATCATGCCCTCTACATGACAGACTCCCAAATCAAAATTTCTCCAGTCCCAGGAACTCCTGGCTTCAATGCCTAATTAAATATTAGTTGACAACACCACTTGGACATATTCTAGGCATCTCAAATTCAACATGGGCAAACAAAACTCTCTAAGCAGCTCTACCTTCCTTATTAACTGTGATAAATAACAAAACCCAAGAGTTATTCTTTATTGTTCCTCACCCTCCCTGAATTATTAGTAAATCTTTGCAACTTTATGTCTAAAAATGTACCAAACCTGTCTATTTATCTCCATCTCTATTACCAATATCTAGTCTAAGTATCCCCATCCCCAATGAGAACAAGAGTTGCTTTAACTGTTTTTCTGCTTTCACTCTTACTCTAATGCAGTGCACAACACATCCAGAGTAATTTTTTTAAGTGTAATATAATTAGGAAATACAAATCCAGTAAGAAAGTTAATGGCAGTACTCCAAACTCCTTACCTTATATGATAAGGCCCTGAAAACCTTTGAGTTTAGAACACATAGTAATCCTTTCTTGCTCACTTATTTTCCAGCCACACTGAACTTCTTTAGATTATTTTACCAAACCCATTTTTACCTGAGGGTCTTGCTCTAACAACTTCTATCACTGGAAAGTCTTCTCTGGAGGATAACTCATTCTTATCCAGTTTTTGGTGTAAATGGAAACCGCATAAAGAGGATTATCTTTACTATCCAGTAACTCCTCTCACATCACCGTCTTTTACTTTGCTTTATAAAACTTATTACACACATAGACATGCATGTATATGGGTATGAGTTTGTGTATTTCTTATTTTTGTTTGGTTTTCCTCCCACTTGAAAATTAGCACACAATAGCAAGTACCTTCTTTTCCATCCTTAGCTGTTGGAAAATAGTTGACAAAATAGTTCACAGCGCAAAGTTGGGCCACATTAAATATTTTAAATGAATTCATGTATTCTTGGAAGTCAGAGTCCATTATTAGTATATGAAAATTACATAGAAATGCAACTGTTTATATAAAACAAAGAAAAAATAGAATTATAAGAACTTAATTTACATATTTTACAATTTTCTGAAATTATATGTAAATGTCTTTCAATCTTCAATATTTATGAATATCATTATTAAATCTGGTTATTATTAATGTAGAGGTGGAAGCTATTGCTTATCCTACTGAACTTGTTTGATCACCATCAAATTCCTTTTTACATATATTTTGGTTTGTGGAATGTATTATAAACTACATTTATTCTAAACAAAAGTCTTACTTTAACATAAAAATCTCACTGTATAGCACGTTATATGAGATTTCTTCTTCAGTAGAAAAGAAAAAGGCACTAAGTACTATTACTGTGGGAGAACTAGAGCATAGAGTATGGTCAGAAAAATGGGGGTAAATGTCCCATAATTTCAAATCAAGTCAGAGCAGTAGCTCTTTCACTTACAACCCAGGTCAGAATAATGGCCAAAAGGTGTCTGATCCAAGGAGTTTGGGAGAAAGTCAATACTTTCACCAATGATGTAATTAAATGAGGTAGAAATCTAAAGTTAAAGGAAATGTCTTTTCTCTTCCATGCTTAGTTTTCATTCAGAGTAACTTTGCCTTAAAACTCTTGACCTTCTGTTATTCAAATTTTTTTCTTCCCAAAAATGGCACAAAGAGTTATCTAAATGGTGACAAATAGCCATTGGCTCAAAGTTGTTAGTTTACAGTACAGCTAAACTTTCAAAGTTGGCAGAAGAGTAAATCACTGTCTCTTGCCTTCCTCACTGGTACTGATAGAAGCCAATAGTCTAAGTACTCTGCTCTGCAGACTGGACATACTCATTTGGATTTTACACTAAGCTATATCCTCCTAGACTTTATTATTAATGTAATACTTTGTTGGATGGAAGAATTTTACACTAAGCTATACACTAATACTTTACACTAGGCTATATACTAATGCTCTGCCATATACTAATACTGCTATACAGTAACATACTTTGCTACATACTAATATACTATATATAGTATATTATATATTGCATATTATAAGTATATAGTATATATAACATATATAATATATATAATATATAGTATATATAGTATACTATATATCATATACTATATATTATATATGTATGATATATATATGATATATATGATATATATATCATATATAGTATACTATATATCATATAGTATACTATTCTTCTCTTTATTTTTTTGTGGATTGTCCTAAGTCCTGAATTTGCTATATATCATATAGTATATGATATATATACCATATACTATGTGATATATAGTATACGATATATCATATATACTATATACCATATACCATATATCATATATACTATATACTGTATATGATATGATATATAGTATATGATATATAGTATATATAATATATAATATAGTATAATATATGTACTATATACTAATATACTCTGCTATATACTAATATACTCTGCTATATACTATATATATACTATAAAAGTTATATACTATATAGCTATATAGTAATAGCTATATACTAATACCAGTACTTTGTTGGATGGAAGAATATGATTTATATTATGGTTCAAACTCAGGCAGAGAAAAAGAATGCTATTTCTTGGTTCAAACACTCACAGACCCAATAGGTCTAAGTGTGGTCTGTGTTTCTGTAATACCAGAAGTGGACTTGCCCTCTATTCCCTCCTCAGGTAGAATCTAGAAACGTTATAGATCTCTGGAGATAAATTGGAAAAATTGTATATGCAAACCTTGGACTGAAAGCTGGGAAGTGAGTACCTAAGATCTTAGTTAAAGGAGCTGAATAGTCAGGATGGCCCTGGAAGGTGAGTCTCACAGAAAGGCTGATCCTTAATTTTAATGTTCACCTCTAGAGCTCACTGCAAACACAGACACTAGGCATGGAAGTGGCAGGCTGACTTGAGATCTGATTCTTTGTGTGAGTAAGCCACCAGGAAACCCCTAGGCCTCTTTCTTTGTGACTAAGAATCTAGGCGTGCTGAGCCTTCAGGTGTCTAATAACATGATGGAGAACATGAGTTTATAGAGCAGGTGTCAATTAATAGGCATGTATTAAAATTTGGGGTGACATAATAAAATCATCACAGGACCTGTCTTATAAATTGAAAATTTTCTCACAACTGTGATACAGTTTGTTGACTAGAAATACTTACTTCCCAGATGATAATCTGCTAATGGCTTTAGGCCAACTAAATTTTTTTCAGTGTTGAAAAACAAATCAAAGGATTTACTTAAAAGTGATTTGTCTGGGAAAAAAACAATTTTTTTTTTTTTTTTGAGATGGAGTATCGCTCTGTCTCCCAGGCTGGAGTGCAGTGGCGCGATCTCTGCTCATTGCAAGCTCCACCTCCCGGGTTCACGCCATTCTCCTGCCTCAGCCTCCAGGGTAGCTGGGACTACAGGTGCCCACCACCACGCCTGGCTATTTTTTTTTTTAATTTCTAGTAGAGACGGGGTTTCACAGCATTAGCCAGGATGGTCTCAATTCCTGACCTGTGATCTGCCCGCCTCGGCCTCCCAAAGTGCTGGGATTACAGGCGTGAGCCACCACACCTGGCCAGAAAGCAACATCTTTTAAATGGGAATACACAAGATCAGATTTATAGTAATTCTTCTTCACACTATTGCCACACATGCCTAGGAAACTTTTATAACTGGCAGTTGGCCTTGTAAATTAATACGTTTGACAGTGCACAGAAGAATGTGTCACATGTATTTGTTTTCAATCCCCACACTTACTACCTTATGGTTTTCCTATGGTCCTTGCTATTAGAACCTATCCAATAAATGTAAATTTCATTGGCTGTCTACATTATTTACAGATATCTACAACTGAATGGCCCTCCTGCAAAATAAGCATATTGACTGCCTTCAGTTTTTGTTCAAACATCTTGGTTTAATTAGTTCAATGACAACCACAAAAATAAAGAGGCTAGGGACATCATTGCTTGTTGATGGGCATGGCATTTTCAAAGCCACAGCATCTGAGCCTGGCCAAGCCTTTTCATTCTGGATCCCACAGAGATTCCTCATATCAGTAAATGGTTAATAAAATAATCTCAATTTATTAAACATTACCACTTGCCACTGTCCAAACATGTATATTGTTACTAGAATTGATAAGATGAAGCCAGTGAAATTACATAAATTTCTTAAAGCTGTGAGTCATGTAAAAATTATCTTTGATTGTACCTTTAGCAATTTTGAACCTATTTCCAGGTCATGTACAATTGGTAATAACAAGATTACTCTTGGCAATTATACACTTGCAGATTTCCTAATATTCTCAGGTGAAATAACAATATGGAAACCCATTTTCCTATAATGCTCAGTCTCATAAATGAATACTTTTTTGTATAATGAAGCAGGAGCTTATTAGGCATGTCATCAGAGTTGAAAGAAAAAGTACAACAGACCTGTTTCATGATACAGTAGACTTTATATCACAGAGTGCTTCAGAAAGAAGATATTAGATTTATAGAAATAATCTTGTCTCAGTTTTTAGTCAAAATTACAACATATTCAAAAGACTGAATACAAATTGATTCAAACTTGAATTCATTAGGGAAGCTATCTAAATTGGTTAGATTTTATGCTTTCAAATGAGTTCCTTTCTTAGTAGACATTTGCTAATCATGCACTAATCTCACTGCAGTGAAAGTAATTAATTCACAAATAGTTACATATTGCATTGTGAAGATACTAATGATATACTGTGCATGCAATAATTGGGAAATGGGCTATAAAATATCTGCTTAACAATATCAAATGGGACTGGTCATTTAAATGTGATATGTAACATTTAGCATATAGAATTATTATTCCTGAAACGACAGAGGAGAGAAAGGTCATGGTCTTTTACTAATTCTACTTCTAATCAGCTTAGGAAAATGGCCTTGTTAGGAGGAAAATGGCAATATACTTTCAAGAATTAAGATATCTGCTATTCTTAATAATCTGTGTCTGTTGGATCAAACTAAAGAAAAGAAGAGAACTAGAGAGTGAGAAAAAGTTAATTATATCCCCAAAGGGACAAAGAGACATGTATGTGGAGAATTCAATTGGAAATTTCCATTTCCAAACTAACTCAAAGTCCTGCAGCAGGTCATTTTTAAAATCAGGCTTAAAATACATATGTCTACACCCAAGAACAGGATATTCTTTCTGAATAGCTGGACATAATTAAATGATTATTCTTCCTTAGTCCCTAAAAATTGGAGTCTAACACAAACAGTAAAGGATAAAAAAAAATAATGAAATCTAAGATGCCACAGATTGCTCAATTCATCACAAAATTGACAAACACACCATTAATTATTGGCTCTCTGGTTTTAGATATGATGTGAAGAAATACAATAAGTGTGCTTTAGAATGTATAAAATATTGTCAAAGCCAGAAATCAATGGGTGTATCAGTTGGGGGTCCAGAGAGGAGACAGGAATTACATTAGTAATTTGAACAGGAAAAATTCTTATACGTAATTATTAACTAGAAAACATAATTAACTACTAGGAGGAGTAAAGAGACACCTAAAAAATAGAAGATTTTGGGCTTTCCTAATATTTGCAAGTAATGTCTCCCATTGCATAAAGTTGTCCACTCATGGACAGGATAACGCAAAAGTACCATGGCAGTGAGAAGACCCTCCTACCAAACTCACCATGTTTTTAAAAAATATTTTGTTTCCTGTTTTTAATAATTTTAATATCTTCTGTTATTTACATGTTATATAATGAGCATAGAGTCAACTAATAATTTAATTACAGTTTCAGTAAGGGATATGCTTATTAAAGAGGCAGATATTAATTCTATCACATGCTAGCAGGTTAATAGTGTGAAGGTAGGGTTAATATCCTCAGGTCACACTGCTACTTCCTGGACATTAATTCCTATTCATATAAAAATCACTGTATTGCAAAGTCTAATGACAATTTTTGACGTTATCTTCTATGCCCTCATTGCATTTCTCCTTCTCTTAGAAACTCTTCCTCTTATACTAAAGATTTTATTGCCTGAGAGATTTTTCAAACCTATTTCTGTCATCTTGGCTAATGCCAACATGCATTTAGAGCATCCATGAAATCAGTGCATTTCTCATTTTCTCAACATTCTACTTTCCAACGGAGTCGAATGTTAAGGAAATCCATTTCACATCAGTCACACCCTCCCATGGCTAATCCAAGGATATTGCCCTCACTGTTCTCTCAAATAATGAATACAAACATTCTGCTGACATATTATTATTCAGTTAATCAAGTGTGACCTCCATCACCTATCCTTGTTGCCCATTCTCAATTTCTCCCATTACACTTTTACTTTGACCTTCAGGCCTTTGTACTATTTTTTCTTCTATTCCATGAGGCCACTCTTGTGCAAATATTTTCACTCCTTTGAATTTTTTTAGTGATATCAGGAAAGCAGAGAGTAGTCATAGCTTCTCACCTGTGTGTCTATGTACCAACATGTGAGTTCCAGGTGGGACTAGATATTAATCCCCTTAGCCCTAGCCCAGGACATAGAAACTGGCCAATACCAGTTTCTAGGTATCATAGGCCAGCTACCTCTGGCTTCAAGAAGGCTTGTAAGTATGTAACAGATGTCAGAAAATGTTACCAATTTTTACTTGTGCTCTGATGTTAAAAAAAATTGTTGGCAAGCAATTCTTTGAATTAATGCAATAATTGTTTGCTTATGTTCAACTCTACTCATAAGCCATGCTCTGCAGTATCTGTTAAATTCTCATGCTATTTATAAACCTTTCTTAGATACCTTAGTATACTTTTAAATTTCTCTGCACTCCTCTAATATCTAATCTTGCTAAAATACATCATCCTTTCAAGAGATGATTTAAATTTTTACCTCACAGAGACAATAGAAGGCAGAAGAGAAGCACTCCATCAAATTTAGGACTCGTAATCTTCATGTTTACACACATTTTCTCCTACATTTTTGGTACTCTCTTTTTCTTTCCGAAAATAAATGTGATATTACTCCTACACATGTGGTTGTTACTCAAGCTTGAAGTTTTGGGGGATTCAGTATCTCCTTCCTCATCTCTTGCATCTTCAAACTTCTGCTTTTACTGTCTTCTTTGATCGGCATTTAAAACTATTCTAGCCTTTTCTACCTTAAAAGAAAACAGAAAACTTTCATCTTACATCATCCTCATTCTTTCTCTCTTCCTTCCTTTGATGCCAACTTCCTTTAAAGATTTAACTTATACTCATTTTCTCCATTTCCTTAAGTCAACTCAATTTCAGTCACAGAACAAGTGACTTCTGCCTTTCCCTCTACAGAAATTGCTTTTTGCCATTGTTACAGGACATCATTAAAGGTAAATCCAAACTGCGATCTTTTGGTCCCCATCTTACATAATCTCGAGATGACATTGTTTATTGTTGATGTCTCTTAAGTGCACTCCTCTCAGCTACACTTCTCACTGTTTTTTATCCTTTACTTTGTGTGTCTCTCGATGTAGCTTCTGTGGTTTTTCTACTCGTATCTTAATTATTGACATGCCTCAGCTTTGGTCATGGGCTCTCTTTCTCCTCTCAATTTGTATACATACCTGAGTAAACTCATACATTATACTGGTTTTAATTTTTATTTTTTAGATGATTGACTCCAAGTTTACATCCTTAGCTCAGATTTTTCTTCTGTGCTTCAAAATCTCTCCTTCAACTGAAATATCTGAACAGCTATTGAAAGGTTAATTTGGGAAGCCCATAAAATAGTCAGATTTATATTTTCCAATATAAATCATTATCTTTCTCCCAAACCTTTGATTTCTAATCCTGTTTTTCAGTAAATAACACCAAGTCTATATAGATGCTCCTGTCAGAAAACTGATGTTTCTTTTCAGAACCTCACTTTCACTAATTAAACTCAAGTGATACACACGTCCTGTAATTTTATCTCCATTTACTTCAGTAAAAATATGAGGTTAAAACAATTCCTAAATACTGTATAATAAATCCACTCTTCCTTCACCACTGCAACTATCTAATCCTGATTGTCATTAAATCTCCCTTCCATTACAAAAACAGCGTTCTAAGTGGCTTTCCTGCTTTGGGTCTTATCTACGTGCTAATTCATTCTTCATCCAGCAGCAAAACTTCTCTCTCTTGAAACACAAATATGAACATGACATTTGGCAGTGTAAAACCCTCACATATGTCTCAAATCCTCTTAAGGTAAAAGCCCAAATATCTCAGCAAGTTTTACAAGGTTCTGGAGAGTCTTCACCCTTGTTAGGCCTCTACCTTATGTCTTGTCACTTTCTTTGCATCCACACTTAGCAGTCACTCACATGCACTCACTGTTGGACTCTACTCATAACAACCTTCTCTCAATCTCCTACAATATTTTTCTCATTCTTACATCTAGAGTTTTGTAATTTTAATTTTTTTTTGTTTGTGGGTACACTGTAGGTTATATCATGGCTAGGGATTTTAATGCTGTTTTCTTGGTGATAAAGAGGTCACTAGCATCCTGGCCAATTCCTGTTACTAACTATATCCCATTCTAGATGAGACTTATTTTGAGAAATCTTCTTTTTCTATGGGGGCAAATCTGGATTAGGTCCCCCTCCTTTGTGTCTTCAATACTTCCTGTTATGTATTTGCATCGCATGATACCACTCATGTCTATGTTTAAGTTTACTGGTCTGTATCTCCCACTCAACTGTAAACAGAACAGTTTTCCCTACTATTGACCATTTAATACTCTATGCCCGGCACTATTCATAATCCAATAAATATTTACTAAAAGCATAGTATAATAATAAACTCAGGATAAAATGGATGATAATATTAAATTGCATTTTACATTATTTAGAAATCACCTATACATACATTTGTCACTTTTTTATTTCACAGTTTACGGTTAATATGACATTTACTATCTTAAAGACCTCTCTTCCTTAAGAAATGGTCATTCTTTTATCATTGCTGGACATGTTGTTTTAGTTTTTAATTATAAATTTGTCTTTACTAAAGCCAAACAAAAGGAATGTATTTAAAATGGATTATGGCTAAATGGATGAAGTAGTTATCACTAACTTAAAAAATTGCAGAAAAATGTAGAATTTAGAAAAAAAACAAAAACTTATTTTAAAAATACAAATAATTTAAATCCACTCTAGAGAGCAAGAAAGTTGTTAGTATATAAACTACCCATTAGGGTTTTTAACTTTCAGCCTATTTGATATCAGAAAATTTGTTTGGAATATGCACTTAAAGTAAAAATACATTGGCATATATCTAAACAATCAGAATGGGACTATTCCATATTATAAATGGAATTCTGGAAAAAATAATGGTAGTGTTGAAATAGTTTTTAGATTTCTGTGAATGCCCATCTAATAACAGGCAGATCAACTAGATAATAAAATTTAAAACCCATGAATGGCATGCACAACAAAATTTAGTGACATGGTATCCCCATGAATACATACTCACATATACCAACAACAGCAACTCTAAAATTATTCACAAGAACCAAGAACAATGTGTCACATACATCTGTTCAACTGACAACCAAGGGAAATAATATGGCATCGTATGGGCCTGAAGACAAGATAATTCTTAAATAGATGTGAAGTATTCCCTAGAAAGCATAGTAAATCAACTTGAGAACAGCAGCATGATTGAATGTGTCCTCTCCAAAATTCATGTATTGTAAACTTAATCCCCAGTGCAACAGTGTTCGGAAGTGTAACATTTTGAGAGATGTTTAGGTTATGAGGTCTTCACTCTACTACATAGATTAATGCCATTATAAAAGTGCTTGATGAGGAATTGCATCCCTTTTTGCTCTTTCATCTTCTGAACCTACTAGTGTCTTGATATTGACTTTCCAGCCTCCAGACTATAAGATAATAAATTTCTCTTCTTTATAAATTACCCAGTCTTAAGTATTCTGTTACAGTACAAAATGGACTAAGACAAATAGTAAGCTCCGAAGGATTTTGTCTGCTTGTACAATGTGGGATTAAAACAGATAAACAAAAATATCTTCAGAACAGTGCATCCCTATAAACTCACAATATTGAGCTGCCTCAGTTGTCTTCCCAAACAGGGCTACATATTGGGGAGAAATTGTAAGAAATTTAATAGAAATTGAGTAGGACAGGGAAAATAGACATTAAAGACAGAGAAGACTAGACAATAGTAGGAGAAGGAATCAGAGACCTAAGATATCTTAGCATGCAAGCAGATATACACCAGAACAATAAACAAACAAACAAACAAAAACAAGAGAAGAGACAGATTGCTGTGAATTGAAGAAAGCTACCCTGAATTATGTCTCTTTCTAAACATCCATAAAGACTAATAGTTTGTGAAAATAAGCAAAAGAAATTATCAAAATCAACTCCAATACAAAATTATTTAAAAGAAATGGAACAATATTCTTAAAGTGAATGAAAGTTTCTAAAATAATAAAAGCAAATAATGAAAACATTGTCAAAGTGAGATCCAATCTGCAATGTATTACTATTTCAAAATGAGCTAAAACATTTTGAGAAAATAACCTAAGCTATGAAGATACAAAATACCAATTAGAATACTCAGTAATGAGGTCATCAAATTCAAAAAAGAATCACAAAGTGAAAACTTTCAGAAATGAATATTATACCAAAAAGAACATGACAAAGGATACATACAATAATTACGTAAGATAATTATTTGAAAAAAATCAAGTAAAAAGGAAATTAAGAAAGAGATAAAAATGATTTGAGAGAAATAGGCAAATATTGAAACTATGCAAAGAAGATTCAATATTTGAATTAAAAGACTCCCTGGAAAAGAAGCAAAAGAAAGAAAATGAACAAACATTATATAATTAATGTTTTTTATGAACAAACATTATACGACATTATATAATTAAACATTATTATAATTAAAGAAAACTTTCCTGAAAAAGAAAAAGGTTTCAAACTACATGGAAAGATTAAAGAAAATATAGACAACACTCAGATATATTCTAATAAAATAACTGCATTTCAATGAAAAACTAATACCCTTTGGGCATGTAGCAGATAAAAAACAGCAATTGATTTACAATGAAAAGAAAATTAGATTAACATCAGACTTTTCAACAGCAACATATTATGCCAGAAAAAATGATATATTTAAATACTTAAGAATATTTAAACTGTGAGAAAAATAGAAAATGTGAGTCAAAGATTTTACAGAGTAAAACTGACTTTCAAGTATAAAGATCACAGACCTATGATCATGAACACCCAAGAATGCAAGAATTATTTCCATTAGCCCTCTCTGAAGTATATCCTAGATAAATAAGCTTTAAACAACCAAAATAAGCAGCAGAGATCAATATGAGAATAGGTAGTGTGCACTGTACATCTATCTACTTACAGAACCCAAACTAGATAAAGGAAAGTGTATTGTATATAATGCCTACAGGCTCAGAATATAGATATATAATAAAAATTAGAGGAAAATGAGGGCAATATATGAACAAAATTTAAAATGTTACATTGATTATATTTTTATATATACTTTTTAATATTTTTTATATATGAAAAATGAGATATTCTGATTTTGTTGTCCCTTATTTTATTGAGACTAGACTTTTATTATGGAAGAAAGGATATACAAATATTATGCAGAAGATGTTAAGTGTAAGATTATATAATGCTGAATTTGAATTTGGTAGCTCTGGAATGAAGTAATGAATACATTGATCTGTGCCATATACTTGAAAGTATATTTTAAAAATGCGCACAACTAAACACTGCCACCTAGAAATGAACACTTGAATTATAAAAGCAAGAAAGTGATTCTCTGAAAATGAGGAGATTGGTTAGTTTTGCAGAAAGGGAGGTGGTACGTTGCCACTGGGCACATGGAAGATGTTTAGGGGTGAAGTTCGACTTCTTCCCCTAGGTGGTAGTTATAAGAGTGCATTACCTTGTTCATCTTATAATAACTTATTAAGATAGTATTTATTTTGTGTGGTTTTATGTATTTTCACAGTAAAATATGAAAATAAAACGGAATTGTTTTCTAACTCTAGAAATAAACAAAAATGAAAAACAGGTAATTCCCTTTGAGACTACAATATGCCGACTCTATGGTAAATACTGGTCCTGAACTCTGTAATTATTCCTTTCTTCAGCTCCACAGGTTCAGCCAACATAGAAATCTCGGGGTCATAGCAGGTACAGCACTGTTTTCTCACCTGCACTGCATCTCCCAAATTATTGTCCTGAATGAATTCCGTGCAGCCCTGCCCTTCATGGCATAATCTTGCCTGTTTCTACTCAAGGTCTCGGTGAGACCTTGTAGAGACCATGTGGCAAAACATTATTAAATATGAACGTCTCTGAGTGGCTACTGCCGAGGGAGTGCTTAATAATTTTACAAAAGCAATATTGTTAAATCCATTTTCAAGTTACGTTTCATCTAGGAACTTACACTTCCCTTCTAGAAGCAGAGTGTATGATATTATTCCCTCTATAGCAGTGAGAAAGTGAGTGCGAAATAGCAGCAAAGCAGTAATATCAATGTCAAACACAGAGCATCAGATCATAGCAGAGAAATGAACAGCCAAGAGGAGGCTGCTTTGTGGGGCCAAGTAACATTTTGAAGAAAGTTTTAAATGAGAAGTATCTAGGAACATAATTGACTGCTGAGACAGGTAAAGACAGGCCTCTGTTTAAAGAGAGAAATATGACCAACTAAACTGACATGTGCTTCACCAAAGATGATGGGTGGGACCTCACTGCATGCAAAAACAGAAGAAACGTTCACATAAGATTACTCCAAAAACTAGGGCACATTGTCTAAGAGTTTCGGTAATTTTTAACAGAGAAACAAATGAAATGGTATTAAAAGTCACATGATGTAATACAAGTAGTCATTGTGTATAATACTGAAAATCACTACTTAATAAAATGTATATAATTTTCATATCATGTTGTGAGTTCTCACCCACTCTACTTGTTATCTTCAGTATATTTGTAGGAGGATTTTTAAGTTGAGAACATGAGTTCTTAGTCACTATCTTGAACATTTTTGAAGCTCTTAGACTGTGTTTGTATCCCACCAAGAGTTTGGGTACATTTCTTGAAAACCAAGGGTGTAATAATCTAACCACTTCTACAATTCAATGAGTTTATCATTTCACAAAACACTGCCTACATGCATTTACACATATTAATGGTTTTAATATTGCCAACAGCTTAACACAAAATTTCTTCACATTTTGAAAGTATTAAATATTTTCTAAAGGATGGAACTACTATATAAACATAAATTCATTTAACTTATATATAACTAACTTTTAAACAATTCATAACAATATAGTTGCTAATTTATGTGTTTTTCTATATAGTTTTAGAATTACTAAAAGCTTTTTAAAGGAAGAGCCAGAAACGTTAATAATCTGAGGAAGTTCGGGTTAAAGTTTTAGATGAACCCAAAATGTTATACAATTCCATGTTACAGTGAATTTCTTAAATAGTATTGTATCAGTCTTTTAGTTCAGAAAGCTCTTATGATTCCACCTACACAGAATACTAGTTCCTGCATCTATGGTAAATATTCATATAAATGCATAGTAAGGTAATATTTGAGTTTCTCACAGCCTAATATTTCTAAGGAGAATTATAGCAACTCTTGGAGAATTGTTAACATGTCAATTCTAACCTCTAGTGAGTTGAAAAGTTTCATTTGAAATGAAAATTCATTTGATAGGTCTAAAATGCATAAATATCTGATTATTTCCTGGCAGGCAACTACAGTAAAATCTCACACCTCAATTTTTCCAGATCTTGGAAGTACATTCATCAATGTCTACTGCAGTTTTTATCTGACAGAGAAGAAAAGCAAGCATTAAAACAGTAAATCAAGTTGGATTTGAAAAAAACAGGAAGTTACTTTACAGTCCAAATGACAACTACATAATTTAATGATAAGAGGTTTGTAAAACCACATTTTATTTTTGCTGGACAGTTTTAAAGGTAAAGATGATAGATCATACATGCTACTTATACAAATTAAGTTCTCCAAAGAAAAAATGTCTAAAAATTTGAAATAAATTCAGAAATACATTGTATCACTCTTTTATTGTGGCATTTTAAGAATCTTGTTTTTAGGGGACTTAAAACTAGGAAAAAATATTGAGGTCATCCAAGTTTGTATTATATTTCTGTTATCTTTTGAAATATCAAATTATAAAATATATCATACATATTGACAATGACATGGCAAAATAATCAGAGACAAAATTACATATGTCCATTAAATTGGTAAATAATGTTACAAACCTTTATAGGGTATGAGGCATCCCATTGTTTGATATATATTCTCTCTTGGTACTTTAAAACAAGTTTGTGAATAGCTATCATCATCACAGTTTTAGAAATGGAAATCCTGGGATATAGAGCTAAACTTATTTGTTCAGGTTTACACATCTAGAAAGCAACAAAATTATGACTATTTTAGTTTTGTCTAAATCCAAAATTTATAGAAATTATCCTCAGAGTGCATTGATAAGCAATATATATGCATAAATATATACACATAAATATATACACACACACACACACACACACATACATATATATACATTCTCTCTCCTCCTCTCATGGTAATCTAAGAGGCATGCTGAGTACTTCTACTATCAGGGATCTGGGAGGCAGAAAGAGAAGTATAAAGAGAGGCAGGCAGTTGATTAAATATGAATAGCATGTATTCATTGATAATGACTATCAGAAATTAGTTTCCTCACCCAGGTATCACCTCCCAGATATTCAGACTGCTCTTTGAAGCTCAGCTCAAACCAGGCAGAAAACTGAACTGAGAATTAGGAAATCAGAAAACAGGGGCCTTAGAAGGAATAACAGTAGTATAGTACACACTAAACTAAAGTCAACAATGGGGCAAAAAGTCAACGATTAGTGGGGATATGGGTTACCTGTAGTCACGTCTACACACACACAGCATCAGGTGTGGAAGCAGTATAGTCTCATACACAACTCTGGAGTGCCTGATGTACTGCTACGAGACAGGATCTATTAGCCCTAAGGTTGAGTGTGAACAAACCTATGGGTAATCTATAATTATCACAGTCATCTATGTGTGGTTGTGGCCTCTGCAGAATGTCATTTTCACATGAGGTACATGTTTTTACTCAAAGTATGCATTTACAAGATAGCTGCTTGAATGAACGTCTTAGTCCATCACCATTAAAGAGAGACAAACAGTAAATAAAATATTTAAATCAATGTTATTGGTTGCATTAACACTATGATTCAATAAGGTAAGCCCACTAGGCACTGAAGAAAACGCTCTAGGTTTATAATGAAATTGCATGGTATTAAGAGAAAATTTAATAGCAGCTAATATAAACGCAAATAAATGCATTAAGTTAGATATATAAAACGAACATTTTCTGAAACGCTCAAACAGAATTACAACTTCTTAACTTTCAGTTTTTTCTCAAATTCATTAAACTCAAAATTATTTTTTAGGTTGTTTTATGGAAGAGGCTTGTTGAACATAGTCAAAAGCCTTCCTTTTGATGAGATTGTATTCATTTCTAGATTAATGTCAGATAGATAACAGAATTTCTTATAAACACATTTTACCAAAAGTCAAAAAATCATGGCAATTAATTTCATTTATTTGATCTTAAAAGTAAGATGTCTATCAAAGTTAAAAATGTGTCAACATATATTTATAAGTGAACAACTTCTAAATAATTAAAAATTACTTTGAGATAATTTTAATGGTTTTAGAAAAAATAAATATGCTTCTTCCTCAGATGCTTTCAGTTGTTGTATTCATAATTAAACAAGCAATGCTTAATATTCACAGATGAAAAGCTGTCAGAAAATTATGCCATCAGAATTCCTGTAAACAAGGTACTTTTGTTAATTTCTAACTGATTGGGAAAGTAGCATTATTGAACCATAATTGATTTCCTCTTTTCTATTTTGTGCAGCCCAGTGGTTGTCTTGTGTGGTGTGTTATTGTAAGATGATTGCTTAATTTGTGGAATCTAAACAGCCTATTGTATTCTAGTAGTCTCACATATTTATATGCCAGCATGCACTTTATGTTTGCAGTCAGGTTTAGAATTTTATGTCAACTATTATTTCATTATTTATGGTAAACAAATTTCAAATTTGAGACATTAAGTATGATCAGAAATATTACAGTAGAAATTAAATAATGATTTATTTGTTAAACTATTTTTCTTAATCTATGCCCTGCAGTTCAATTGTCAATTGAGGAAGTTTTAGAACACAATAGCAAAATAGGAACTGCAGTAACAAAGCAAGATTGCCAAGAAGAAAAATGCTTTTTAAATTATTCCTTTAAAAAAAAGTAAAGGTCAAAGGAGTGTGACCAGTATCTGATATTTAAATTAACCTAAGCCACTGAAGGTATTCATATGTATGTGAATGAAGTTCCAAATGTAGACTGGGTAAAAACTCCAAAGCAATAATCATGTTGGCTACAATAATGCATGCAAATCAAGGTAATTGGTATAGATAATAAATAATTGAGGAATCAAATTTAGGTACATTTTCCACGGCCAGTAAAAACTAAGCATAAAGAACATTAAAATAGTTTGGTTATTTGTCCCTGCCCAAATCTCATGTTGAATTGTAATCCTCAATGTTGGAGGTGGGGCCTGGTGGGAGGCGTTTTGATCATGCAGGCAGATCCCTCATGACTTGGTGCTGTCCTTGAAATAGTGAGTACTCATGAGATCTGGTTGTTTTAATGTGTGGAACCTCCCCTCCCACTCCCTCTTGTTCCTGCTTTTGCCATGTGACATGCAAGCTCCTGCTTCACCCCTGCCATGAGCAAAAGCTTCATGCGTCCTCCCCAGAAGCCAAGCAGATGCCGGTACCATGTTTTCTGTTCAGCCTGCAGAACTGTAAGACAATTAATTCTCTTCTCTTTATAAATTGCTCAGTCTCATGTATTTCTTTATAGCAATGCAAGAATAGCCTATTACAAACATTAATTGATTTGATTACTAAAGCTGACAGAGTATTGTGCATGAAATTGATCTCGATATCAAGAAGTCTGGTTTCTTATAAAAAGTGAATTTTATTTAATAGAAACATTGAGAGATGCAGTGTTCAATATGGTAATCAGTAGACACATGGTTGAACACTTGAAATGTTGATGCAAGAGGAACTGAATTTTTAATTTAAATTAACTTTAATTTAAATTTAAAAACTAATTCATTTGAGATATTTAAAAACTTTTAAATATGGTTGACAACTTGATACATATAAATATCTATTTTCAACCTTCAGTTTCATGAAATGTAATTACAGATCAATTCCAATGAAAAGTTATCCAAATTAAGATGCCCTGTAAATATAAAATACATGTCAGATTTCAAAGACTAAGTTAGAAAAAAAGCATAATTATTTAAATACTGTTTTAATAGTGATAACATATTATATATTGTTAAACATATTATTCATATTAACTTTACTTATTTTTAATATAGCTCTTTAACAAATTAGAATTGCATATGTGGCTCGCGTAATGTTTTTATTGGATAGCCTTGAGAAAAAATCAAAATCTGCATTGACTTTACATGTATTACTAAGAATATGTTTTAGGACAATATACTCTAATTTACATATATTTTCTCTATCTTCATACACATCTGCTTCCCACTTACCCCACCTCCCTTATTGTTTCCCAAAAATCAGAAATTCTGATGATGTAACCTCCCTTATTGTTTCTCAACAACCAGAAAATTTGATGGGGCTTGAAAGACAGAAGTGGGATAATAACAGAGAGAAAAATATCTTAGATTTTTCTTTTGTGTGGTATAATGGTGCATTTTTATTACTATCATTAATTAACCCAGAATGGCAAAGAGGAAAAGGATTTTTGAATTGGAACCAGTGAAGAGTCAAAGAAGAGGAGGAATGCAAAAATTTTCAGGTGGAGAACTCTCTGTCTGTAAACTCTGTTCCCAATGACCACTACAAGATCCATGTTCCCTCCAAGAGAGCTGAGAAAACATCACTACATTCATCATTCAGAACAGGGTGAGGGAAGGAGCCCTCGACAGAACACGCCCAGAGTTACAAGTTGTCCTCAGAGTAGTATTATTGCCATTAGGAAAAATTGGCCAACTGTGAGTACAGTGTGAATGATCTGGAAAGATAAAGAGAAAGGTAGTAACAATAACATAATTGTTTTCCTGGCCATGTAGGAGTTTGGCTGAAGTTGTCCTTAATGTGACTTTTTTAAGCCAATGCTTATTTCCATCAATTTTGGTTTCCTACTCAATTCTATTTTTATCAGATAAGATTAACTCCTATACATTTACTGAAATTATACAACTTTTACATCTTCTCTTTCATGGCTAAAGAATGAATCTAGGACTTATCTACTGATATTAGATATCATCATTTGGCATTGTCTCAATATACTGTGGCTCACTATGGGCAGCTCAAACACTATATTGCCTCTGCATCAGAGGCAATTTTGAATTGATTTGTTTGGGTTTGTTAGTCTCGAGGAATCTCAAGATATGATTTTTACCAAAATGAGTGTGGTTTCTTTCCAGCTGTTTGTTAATTTAAAAAAAAAGAAATGAAAATGAAAACTATTAGCTAAGTTCCTAACCTTTTAATAAATTGGCTAGAAACACAATGTGCTATTTCAAAACAATGATATTTTCTAATATTTCATAAGCACTAAATTTTGCATCTTTTTACATGTACTGATGCCTTAGTCCCTCTTATGTTATTTGAATTTGATGAACAACCTGGTATCTTTATCTATGTTTAAAAATACATCTCTTCAGGGGAGAGCAAAAGACAAACAAAAATAATTCCCATTACAGTCTCAGCAGGTAGAAATGCTCTTACTCAAACCACAGACATTTCTTAAAGCAGGCCTCACAGCTGTAATCTTCAAATACTTTTATTCTAATAGCAAGGCATAATGTGGTAATTTCAAATTTGCTTTATCATGACTGTTTTAAATGGTGAATACATATTTTTTCTAAGCAACAGTATATTATTGAAATGAAAATAATATATGTGATCATTATGTGTCAGATACTGAAATGACCATTTTCTATATCTCAGTAGCCCCTTTTAACATTCCTTCTAGTAAATCACTATGATTTCTACTTCCAAGGTGACAAAAGCAAGCTTAGTGGGGACCCATAGCTAACCTAAGGCAACAAAACAGGGACATGTTGGAGCCTAGAGTCTTCCAAGCCTCTGTTTCCAAACTCATGCCCTTACTTGTTCTGTTAGTCTAATTCTTGTAATGGCCATTATTTGATATTTTATTGTAAATTTACAACAAATACTTTGCTCTATTATATAAAATACTATCATTTGGAACTGAAACTTCTCAATATTATTTAAAGAAATCATTCAACAAACAGATTTTATTTTATCCTACACTATGTTCACTAAAAAACTGAGAAATATAAATTCATTGATATGAATTTCACTTAAAGAGAATTTTGACAGCACAAACTTTCACATTGTTTTCTTTTTGATTGGCAATATGAATTTAGTGCCCAAAGTACTGGTTATTTAAAAAAATGAGATTCATTGATTTTTAATCTACATTTTTCTATTCATCTTGAGATTACTAAACATGGGTCACAATTTTAAGAACATCTAGGAAAATAAGACTTCTTGTAACAAGAACTGCTGAAAACCCTTTACTTCAATTTGACATTTTGTGCTCTTCTAAATGTATCCTAATGCATGGTCATGCTACAAAATGACTATCATTAGGGCTGTCACAGGCCATGGCTGTGGGAATACCATGACTGATGCTAAGCTATCAGCACTGTCGGTGCAAGGTGTATTCTCAGTAATTTCTCAAACTGTCCATGGAACCAATTTCTACTGATCTCTAAGTCATAAAACTTTACAATTACCCTGAGTTCATTAATAATGTATTACAGTTCTCATTCTCAATCACAATTTCATCAGATCCATGTCTCACAGGAAGGTTGACAAGTAAGCCACAAAATTATCCATATAAATGTCAAGATTTATTTTCCTAACATAAATGATCTAACCTAGTCAAGCATAGTTAATAATAAAATCATTCTTTCTGAGATTACCATTCACCTGATTGCCATACCCATTTTGGCCTTATATCTCAACCTCTCTAATGGTGGAGGTTATGGATATAGTCCACATAAATAAACCAATTATTTATGAGTCATGTTCATTTCTATATTAAAAATACAAAACCATGAATACTTATATTATTGCTTATTACTCCTCTGTAATAGGCACAAAACTAAATTGGTCAATTTATTCCATGACAATGAGGTAAGTACTAAAAGGGAAAAATATGTTAAAACAGTAATTTTAGTTACAGATATCTCAGGTTGCTGTTTTAGCAAAAATCATAACATACTCTACTTCAAATACAGAATCTCAGAATATGTCCAAATGGGAAATTAAGTATTAAGGCACTGGCAAAATTATTGCATTGAAAATGAACAGAAACTTGCTTCTACATTGCATTTTTCCTACACTCTGTGCATAAAAGTTTATTTTGATAATGAAGGATATATGTAATAAACAGTTTCTGAGTTCTTGAAGCTATTCCCCCCATTGTTACATTACTATCAGCCTGTTTTGATATATTATATTAATCATATCATAATTTTAAAATATATGATTTTTTCACTGATATATGAAATCTTAAGTAACATATTAAATAACTAATTACAGAAACATTTATTAATCTAAGTAAATGCATGCAATGGACTGTAATTTATTTGCTTTGAGGCATTTTATAGAAGTAAACAGATAGATAAAAGAATGCAGATGGGGTTTCAGAAGCGGCATATTGATAGGCGAAATACTATACTATCTTTCAAGACTACAAGTGGAGAATGTTAATATATTCTGCCAAATTTTATATACTGTCCATCTTAAAAAAATCACATTGTTTAGAGTAGTTTCCCTCCTGAGAAAAAAACAAAGTTGGTGACACCACTTGACAGCTCCACTGAAGCAGGAAACATAATTGCATTCATTTATTCATTTTCTCAGTATTAGACTCACGAACCTTTAAAAGGGTGGGGTGGGGAGTCCTTCAATAGAAGTCCTTCAGTAGAACCAAGAAATCAGTATTCTATGATTTACTACTTCATAAAGGTAAATAAGTCAGTGAATTAATCAAAAATTTAAACAGTGTATTTTTCTCTCAATTGGCTATACAACCTAGAATTTATATCTCCTAAAGGTAAATTGATAATATAAAAATCTATAGGTAGCATCCAACATTATGACTCTTTACATGACTGTAGAAGTTGTGATACATTTAGAATTATTGTTAGCAAAAGTCTATGTAATACAGCATATTTGTTTTGTTTCCTAGATAAATTGATTTATATTCAATGATTTGTCTGTAGCAGATAAAATAAAATACATAACTGATACCTCGAATATTATTTTGTTTTGATAACTGTTACTTTTTCAACCCTGTTTTCCTAATCATTATCTTTATTTCCTCCTATTAAGAATACTTTAATCTTACTCATTTTCTGTCTGAACACTGAAATTCATCAATGAGAGTAAACATTGAACCAAAAAAATATTCCTTTTATTGAGACTGGTCTCTAAGTATGCTTTCTATTAGAGTTTTAATTAAAATCACTTTCATAATATACTTTTTTATATTTGTATAATATATGATACTATATTTGATTTTCCTAGTATTAATCTGAAGGTGATAATTTTATAATTTGCCAAATTTTTATATTACTCTAAGCCATAGGTTGACATGTATATTTCTCAGATATAAATGTTCATATGTACCAGAAATATTTTTAAAAGACATATTAGAATATATATATTTTTTAAATAAAATATGCTGAAAAATATTTTCATTTCTGAAACTTCATTTATCTTTGGCAAGAGTCAGTCAGTATCTCATGATTAATTCAGGGCTGAACCCAAACGACGTTCAAATTAGCATGTCAGCAGAAGAAATAATAACACTATTTGATACTGGTCTTTTCCCTTAGAATCACTCAAAAGGTTCTCTAAGACAGCACACAGAGTCCTGGTTAACTTCTGAAAACATTCTTTTTCACTGTAAAGCCAGACTATTGTTAATGACAATTGCCATTAATTTACTATGAACTTACATATAAGAATAAAGATTCTGACACTGCATTTTCCCCAAATACGATGAACAGTAGAAAATCAGTAGAAAATATTAGAGAAAAGCTATACTTAGAATCCATGTAATCTTTAGATTGTTAAATATCTGTTTCACTCAAATTGCCAATTTAAATGTGGGCTTTCTTCTGAAACAGTAAATGCTACTCCAAGAAAGTAAAACCAGTAGTGAAATTTTATTCATTTTACTTTTTAAAATAAAAATAATATCTGCCCTAGAGCTTATTTTGTCAAAACATCTTCTTCACTGTCGTGTATCCTATGGTATGCCCTTCCTATTCTAAGTGTCAGAGACAAGGAACCAAATCAAATTCCTCATACCCCTGGAAATGTATCAGGTTTTTACTTCCCTACAATCATCTACAATTTAAATGCAAATTTAATTTTGTCAGCATTTCATGACATTGAACGTAGATAAATGTCTCACTATCTCAGTGAGTGTTATGAAAGTTTAAAAATATTCTTGAAATAAAGTTAGTGTTTTAGTTGGAAAAAACTATAGCATACAGCATGCTGAAACAGAAGAGGATGTGCAAGAAGTGTGTAGTAGCATGGGCATCATTGTGGAGGAATAAGAAAGAGGGTGTGTTGCTGGGACAGTGAAACACCTCATCCTGCTGTCTAAATCTCAGGCTATATTCCTAAGGGAGAGCATCTGGGGGTTCTCCACTGATTGAATTGTTAGAATTCTGAGAATACTGGAATCAAATCTTAGAAAAAAACTGATTTTTAGTCTGGGAATCTAGGTCATTAGATGTCTCAACTGGTGAACAGAAGAAAATTATAAATAAGAAATTATGAGTGATGAGTGAAGCCAGAAGTCATGACAAAGGTGAAGAGTAAAACTAAGAAGTACTGGAAAGTTAATGAGGCACCAGACATCTCAAACCTTTAATATTAATCTTTTAGTGAGGCTCAGCCAGAGCTTTCTTGCTTTTATGACAACATTCAATCAGAGAGTAATCATATCTCACAGCATTTGTGATTGATCTGAAGTAAGGATCTCTATTTCTCAGTGTTCTTTCTCACTTAATTTTCTGTTTGGTTTTCCCTATGATTTCATATTTGAACCTCCTTTCAGTGGAAAGAACATCTGTAGTCCCATGAATTTTCTAATCTGAAAGGGCTACAGAAATGAACCATCACTGTGCTTCAAGCCAGCCAGAACAAGATTTATCACTTGCTTTGTGTGTGATCTTGAATAGGTGGCTTAAAATGAAATAATGCAATTCCCAGTTTCTGAAAGTATAAAAATTAAATAGGATAACTGAAATATGCCCAGAAAAATTCAAGGTAACAGCATAGCTTAATCTCCCTCCCTTGATCTAAATTGTTTGATGACTTTTTTAAAAAAAATCTTCCAGAACACAACTCAGATATCTTAACTCAAAGTTCAAGGCTTTCCATAGTGTCTCATCCATCTGCCTTTCCAGGTCCACTTTTCTCTATTCCCTTTACGTAGCTTTTTGTTTAGTCAAATGGGACCATTTAGTTTATTTTTCTTTTGCTATGTCTGCCTTTGCTCTTGCTTCTTTCTCCAACTCTATACTTGCATAGTTATCCTTTCCTTCAAGGACCAGCTCAAATATTACTGCACTTCTATATTTCTCTCCCTTCCCTTCCCAAAATTAATCTCTCCCTTCTCTACGTCTATAAAAACATTTTTTTGTCTTCTGGAGTACCTGGCTTAATGTATCCTCACCTTCTCCTCTTTTTTTTTTTTTTTAAATCCTTCTCTATTGTCTCATTTCCTCTATAGTTTTAAATATGATAGTTTGAAATTAATAGATGATGGCAAAAAGAAGACTACAGTACATGGTGAAACCCCGTATCTACTAAAAATACAAAAATTAGCTGGGCATAGTGGCACATGCCTATAATTCCACCTATTTGAGAGGCTGAGGCAGGAGAATTGCTGGAACCCATGAGGCTGTGGTTGTATTGAGCCGAGATTGTGCCATTGCACTCCAGCCTAAGCGTCAGAGTGAGACTCCATCTCAAAAAAACTAAATAAAAAAAAAAGAAGACTACAGCTTACATTTGTATCTTAGCCAAAGCAGCTTCTTTCTTCTAAGCTATGCTACTGCTGCATATGTTTGGTCAAAATTTTAGGCTTTCATGGTTTCTTTTTTCCTTTTTGGGGGGATGTGTATAGCATAGATCACATATGGAAACAAACGCAAAACAGAAAATACAAATGGGAATGAAAAGGGAATGGAAGCAGAGATATTATTTCCAAAAGCTTAAAAGGAGAAATAAGGATTGAATTGTTTTAAACTGAAGAAAACATCATTTATATAGAAAGAGCAATTAGATTATGCGATACTGGTAAAACGAGTCAGTGGAATTAGTTCACAGAATTATGAATAAAAGGTCTGTCTGCATTATGTCTTCCTTAAATCTATTGTTTGTTAAATTTCCAATTATGTACATGAGCATAAACACACATAAATACAGATATATATGTGTGTGGTGGTGTGTGTGTATATAAACATTTGTAAATATGTATATGTGGGTTTTTTTTTTTTAACGGAGTCTTGCTCTGTCGCCAGGCTGGAGTGCAGTGGCACGAACTCGGCTCACTGCACCTCCACCTCCCAGGTTCAAGTGATTCTCCTGCCTCAGCCCCCTGAGTAGCTGGGACTACAGGTGCGTCCCACAACACCCAGCTAATTTTTGTATTTTTAGTAGATATGGGGTTTCACCATGTTGGCCAGAACAGTCTCAATCTCTTGACCTCATAATCCACCTGCCTTGGCCTCCCAAAGTGCTGGGATTACAGGCATGAGCCACCGTACCCAGCCATATGTGTTATTTTTTAACGCGGTAACATAATATCCAGGTTAGGATGTTTAAGGATGGATATGTGAAATGTGTTTTCCATCCTCTCACACACTAGATCCCATATTTCACTTTAACAGGTATCATATTTCTCCCTTTTCATTATTGCAGATCATCCTGAAAGCTTCATCACCTTTGGTTTGGTTTATTTTCCATTATTCCACCAAAATGACTATTTTGTTTAGGCCATTGGTGCCCTCTTATTGCCAAATCCGATGGGTATTTGAATATCTTTTCTTAGTTTTCCTGTGTGCAGCATTCAAAATTGTCAACAATTCCTTACTTCTTGAATTAGTTCCACACATTGGCTTTATGATACTACACAGCTGTGCATCTTACCTAACTGGCTCCTTCTTCTCATTCTTTTCACTCTTCCTCTTTCACCCACCTCATATTAATTGGAAGACTCAGCTGAGTGGTATCAGATGTCAACACTCATAGCAGTTGAGTGAATGAGTGGTGTAGTCCTGAAGTGGAGAGATCTGAGCCATGGGCCAGAATACACACTAAACCCCTCATGTCTATTAAGTGAGTACTAGGCACCAAAAGGAATATGTATATTTGCTTGAATAATAAATGACCTCTCATAGGCTTCCATTTGTGATTTTCTGATCACATTCTTCATATTCTATCATTCCATGCACATGTCTAAGCTCAATGATATGGTTTGACTCTGTGTCCCCACACAAATCTCACTTTGAATTGTCATCCCCATAATCCACATGTGTTAAGGGTTGGACCAGGTGGAGGTAACTGAATAATTAGGACAGTTTTCCCCATGCCGTTCTCGTGATTATGGGGGAGTCTTGTGAGATCTGATGGTTTTATAAGAGTCAGGCATCTTCCCTGTTTGCACTCACTCCATACTCCTGTCCTGTGAAGAAGGCGTCTGCTTCTCCTTTGTCCTCTGCTATTTTAGTGAGTTTCCTGAGGTCTCCTACTAATCTGGAGCTGTGAGTCAATTAAACTTCTTTCCTTTGTAAATTACCCAGTCTCAAGTATTTCTTCACAGCAGTGTGAGAATGGACTAATACAGTAAATCGGTACCACAGAGAGTGGGGTACTGCTATAAAGATACCCAGAAATGTGGAAGCAACTTTGGAACTGGGCAATAGGAAGAGGTTGGAACAGTTTGGAGGGGTCAAAAGAAGACAGGAAGATGTGGGAAAGTTTAGAACTTCCTAGAAACTTGTTGAATGGTTTTGACCAAAATGCTGATAGTGATATGCACAAGTTCATCCGTAAGTGGTCTCAGATGGAGATGAGGAACTTGCTGGAAAATAGATCAAAGGTCACTCATGCTATGCTTTAGCAAAGTTCCTGATGGCATTTTGCCCCTGCCCTAGAGACATGTAGAAGTTTAAACTTGAGAGAGATGATCTAGGTTATCTGGCAGAAGAAATTTCTAAGCAGCAAAGCATTCAAGAGGAAGCGGGGCATGAAAGTTCAGAAATTTTGCAGCCTGACCATGAGGTAGAAAAGAAAAACCCATTTTCTGGGGAGAAATTCAAGCCTGCTATAGAAATTTGCATAAGTAATAAGGAGCCCAATGATAATCACCAAGACAATGGGGTAACGTCTCCAGGGTGTGTCAGAGACCTTCATGGCAGCCCCTCCCATCACAGGTCTGGAGGGCTAGGAGGAAAAAATGGTTTCATGGGCCAGGCCCAGAGTCCCCCTTCTTTATGCAGCCTCCTGACATGGTGCCCTGAGTCCCAGCTGCTTCAGCTCCAGCTATGGCAAAAAAGGGCCAAGGTACATCTCGTGACATTGCTTCAGAGGGTGCAGGCCACAGGCTTTGGCAGTTTCCACATGCTGTCGAGCCTGTGGGTGCACAGAAGTCAAGAACTGAGGTTTGGGAACCTCTACCTAGATATCAGGGGATGAATGGAAATGCCTAGATGTCCAGGCAGAAGTTTGCTGTAGGGCCAGGGTCCTCAGGGAGAACCTCTGTTAGGGCAGTGCAGAAGGGAAATGTGGGATTGGAACCCCCACACAGAGTCCCCACTGTGGCACTGCCTAGTGGACTTGTGACAACAGGGCAATTATCCTCCAGACCCCAGAATGGTAGATCCACCTATGACTAGCACCTTACACTTGAAAAAGCTGCAAACACTCAACATCAGCCTATGAAAGCATCCAGGAGAGGGTGCTGTGCCTGCAAAGCCACAGAAGTGGAGCTGCCCAAGGCTGTGGGAGCCCACCTCTTGCATCAGCATGACCTAGATGTAAGACAAGGGGTCAAAGGAGATAGTTTTGGAACTTAAAGGTTTAATGACTGCCCTATTAGATTTTGAACTTGCTTGAGGCCTGGAGCCCCTTTGTTTTGGCCAATTTCTCCCATTTGGAATGGGTGTATTTACCCGATGCTGGTATCCCCATTGTATCTAGGAAGTAACTAACTTGCTTTTGATATTACATGTTCATAAGTGGAAGGGACTTTGCTTGTCTCAAATAAGACTTTGGACTTTGACTTTTGAGTTAATGCTGCAATGAGCTAAGACTTTCAGAGGCCAGGCATAGTGGCTCATGCCTGTAATTCCAGCACTTCTTTGGGAGGCCAAGGCGGGAGAATCACTTGAGGTTAGGAGATTGAGATCAGCCCAGCCAACATGACAAAACCCCATCTCTACTAAACAAATGCAAAAATTAGCCGGGTATGGTGGCATGCACCTGTAATCCCAGCTACTGGGTAGGTTGAGTGAGGGGAATTGCTTGAATCTGGGATGCAGAGGTTGCAGTAAAGCTGAGATCACACCACTGCATTCTAGCCTGGGCAAGAAAGCAAAAAAAAAAAAAAAAATTATATATATATATAAATAAATACACACACACACACACACACACACAAACACACACACACACTTTGGGGGACAGTTGGAAGGGCATAAGGCCATAATTCTGTTTTGAAATATGAGGACATGATATTTGGAAGTGGTCAGGGGCAGAATGATATGCTTTGTCTCTGTGTCACCACCCAAGATCTCATCTTGAATTGTAATACCCATAATCCCCAGGTGTCAAGGGCAGGACCAGGTGAAAGTAATTGGATCATGGGAGTGGCTTACCCCTTGCAATTGTCATGATAATGAGTGAGTCTCATGAGATATGATGGTTTTATAAGCATATGGCATTTCCCCTTCTTACACTTCTTTCTGCCACCTTGTGAAGAAGGTGCCTTGCTTCCCATTCACCTTCCACCATAATTGTATGTTTCCTTAGGCCTCACCTGCCATGCAGAACTGTGAGTCAATTAAAACTTTTTTCTTTATAAATTACCCAGTCTTGGGTACATCTTTACAACAGTGTGAAAATGGACTAATACACTCACCAAATACAGTAAGGTCTTTGTGGATTAGAAATATACTGGATTTGACTTTATATTCTCTACATTGCAAAGCAGAGTACCTTGCATATAGTATGTTTTTATTTAATATTTCCTAAATGAATGGAAACAGAAGAGAAGTTAAAGGATAAGTCATGGGAGCGGCTGATGCAGTCTCTACCAGTGTGTCATAAATCCCAAAATATTTGAAAGAAATTATAGTACAGGGATCCACAACACAAAGCTGCTGTCCCAAAGATCCATTTATTCTATTTACTTGTCAAAGTAATAGACAAAGTAATAGACAAAGTAATTGACAAAGTAATTGTCAAAGCAATTACTTTGACATCCCTACACTGTCATTTTCTGGTCTATAAATTAGGGGTAGTAATACTAACCTGTCATAAGGTCTGAGAATGCAATGCTCTAATAGGGCCTAGAACACAGTAAATATTCAATAACATTTATTTGTTATTAATAAAACCTTCATGAAGTTAATATTTCATGTATAATATTCTGTACCTTTTTCTTCCTTTAAAATTAATTGTACATGATTAAACATGCATTTTTTAGAGTATAAGAAATAAACACTAATTGTTAAATTATATTTGTTCATATTCTGGATTAGGAGAAATTTAATTCTCAGTTTGTATTATAAATTTTAAAAACTGCCAGGCACGGTGGCTTAAGCCTGTAATCCTAGCACTTTGGGAGGCCGAGGTGGGTGGATCACCTGAGATCAGGAGTTTGAGACCAGCCTGGCCAACATGGTGAAACCCCATCTCCCCTAAAAAAAAAAAAAAAAAAAAAAAAACAGATTAGCTGGACATGGTGGTAGGCACCTGTAATCCCAGCTACTCAGGAGACTGAGGCAGGAGAATCATTTGAATTTGCGGGGCAGAGGTTACAGTGAGCTTAGATCACTCCATTGCACTCCAGACTGGGTGAGAGAGCGAGACTACATCTCAAGAAATAAATAAATAAATAAATAAATAAATAAATAACTGCTTAATAATAAAAAGAAGTTAGATAATTCATACATGTATTTTGTTACGATTAAAAATAATCTGACAACAAATGAGCTGAATATAGTAATTATGAAATCAATTTTATGGTTTGTTAAAATGCTAAGGTTAATCTTCACGTAGTTTGAGTTTTTATTGTATTTATCTGCTTCATAATTTTGATTAGTGTAAGGGGAATGGCTGTGGCTTCTGTCTGGAGTAGGCCAAGGCTGACATCCAGTACAGCACGACACAGCGGGTTTGGAGCAGAGGCGCACAACCCCATGCACTACATAATTACATTTATGTAGCCATTCGGTTGTAACCTGTTTGTGTGAGCTCATACCTGGCTTTGAGCCACTGTTGTCTGTGAAAAATATAACTGCACTGCTGACTCTGTAGGAGAGAGAAAGAATAAGTCCACATCCCACCTGCCTACGGTCCCTCGAGTGTTTTTCAGCTACCCGCCACCCATCTACTGACTTCCCTCGGACCCCAGCTTGGGTTGAAATCTGAAAATTAGGTTAATATAACTTTTAATATTGAAAATAGTATTTATTATAGCTTTTAATTTATATTTTTGTGAATTATTTGACCCAATCTGTGTAAGAAGATGTACATTAGAATATAAAAATACAATTACCAGAAAAATAAAAGATAATTTTTGGTTCTTTCATGAAACATAGAAACTCAAGAACGAAAATGAATAAAGCTATATTCAATCCAGTCAGTCTTGAATTCATGTAAAATTTTTAGTACTTAACAAAGTTGCAAAGATTCATACTATTAAAACAGAAAAGTTGTAGAAGTGGTCTAACAATGAAATTCTCAGAAAGTTAGAATTGTCTTGCTTTATTTCTCAGGCATTCCTAACATTATGATTTCTGTGACAAAAAGTAATAACTACTCATATATTTACCAGCGCCTGAAAATCAAATGTGTTATAACATGAATTATCATAGAAGTATATGACTATGCAATTGCAAATGCAAAAAGTCATGCAACACACTATTTTAATAATATAACAATCATCTTACTGCCAATGTTTTCATTTCACTAATTTCATTGAATCTTATCTTCTGATAACTGTTTAGCTCTTTAATTAGATATCAAATAATTACACTTTTGAAATGCAGCCAGGCATAGTTTTTTAGTTGCCGTGATAGCATATAGTCATCTTTATCCTGCACATTTTGTGTTTTATATCCAAGCACGTATCTAATTATCTTTCTGACTGAATTGACTACTTACAGCGCAGGAAGATCTAACACAGGTCATTTGCAATTGTGCAGTCACAAGTCACAAAAAGAATGAAAAAGAGTGAAGAAAGCCTAAGGTTCTTTTGAGAAACCATCAAGTGAACCAATATACACATTGTGGGAGTCAAAGAAGGAGAATAAAAAGAGAAAAAGGCAGAAAGCTTATCTAAAGAAATAATAACCAACAACTTCCCAAAGTTTTGGAAGCAAATGACATTCAGATTTACAAACCCCCTAATACATTGATGCATTATCATCAAATTATCAGAAGTCAATACCAAAGATAATTTTAAAATTAATAAGAGAAAAGTGACATCACATACAAGCAACCCTCATAAAACTATCAGTTGGTTTCTCAGCAGAAACCTTTCAGGCAAGAATGGAGTAAAAGGACATACTCAAAGTGCTGAAAGCAAATAAAACACCTACCATGAATATTATCCCCAGTAAACCTGTTCTTCATAAATGAAGGAGGAATAAAACACTTTCCCAGAAAAACCCTGAGAGAGGTCATCAATAGCAGGCCTGCCTTACAAGAAATGCTAAAAGGAATTCTGAAAGAATACTAAACAGCAAAATGAAAGTATAAAACTTAATGAGTAAATGTAAATACATAGAAAAAACAAGAATACTGTAATACCATAATGATAGTAGATAATTCTAATATAAAAGTTAAAAGACAAAAGTACTAAGCATAACCACAAAAATATGTTAATGTATACACAATATAAAATAGGTAAACTGTGAAATCAATAAGATAAAGTACATGCATGGAGGTAAAAGTGTAGAAATTTTATACTGTTTGAATTTAAGTTGCCATCAGCTTAAAATAGACTGCTGTAAGACAAGCATGCCTCATGGTAACCATGAAGAATATATCCCTAAATATACACAAATAAAATATATCAGAGTATGTCACTAAAAAACAAATATAATTCCACAAGAAGATGGCAAGGGAAGGAAATAGGGACAAAATACCTATAAAATAGATAGAATATAAGTTTTTAAAATTTTAATTAAAAGTCCTCACTTACAATAATTACTTTGAATATAAATGAATTAAACTTCACAATTGAAATACATAGAGTGCCTGAATAGATTTTTAAAAATAAAGATCTAACTTTATGCTGTCTATAAGAAACCCACCTTAGCTTTAAGGACTAACACAGGCTAAAAGTCAAGAGATGGAGAAAGATATCCCATGCAAACTGCAAACCATAGAGAGCAGGTTAGCTATACTTGCATGAGACAAAATATATTTAAGTAAAAAGGTGTTACAAAAATATGTTGATAAGTTTTATTTAGTTAGTTCAGAATGTATACATGTTTGAAAACATCATATTGAACATAATAAGTAATAACTTTCACAGGAAACAAAGAAGATTATATAATGATAACTGGTCAATTCATCAGGAAGATAAAACAATTACAAATATATAGGCACCCAACATCAGAGCACCTAAATATATACATAAAGCAAACATGACTTATATGAAGGGAGAAACAGACAGAAAAAAATCACAGCAGGAGATTTTAATACTCCACTTCAATAATGAATGGGATATCTTAACGAAAAAAAAAAAAAAAAAAAGCAAACCGAGGACTAAAACAATACTATAGACCAACGGGACCTAACAGACACATATGAAAGATTCCATACAATAGCAGCAGGATAAACATTGTTTTTAAACATGCACAGAATAATCTTTGGAACAGATCACAATTGAGGCCACAATACAAGTCTTAGTAAATTTAAGAAGATTGAAGTCTTACCAAGTATTATTTCCAACCACAAAGAAATGAAACTGAGAATAACAGAAGACAAACTGAAAAATTAAAAAGAAAAGGTAAGTAAATGATACAATCTTGAACCTACAATGGTCAAAAAAGAAATCAAAATAGAAATTAGAAACTATCTCAAAATAGATTTTTTTCTTAAAAAAATTAAACCAACAGAAAAACTTAAGGCATGCAGCAAAAGCAATATTGAGGGAAGTTTATAGTTATAAAAGCCTACACTATAAAAGAAGAAAGATCTTAAACAATTAACTCTATACCTCAAGAAGCTGGAAAAGGAATAACAAATTAAGCACAAAATTAGCAGAAGGAAAGAAATAAGATTTGAAGATAAATAGCCTAGAGAAACAAGAAAAAATGTCAACAAAGTAAAGAGTTGGTTTTCTGAAAAGATAAAATTGACAAAGCTCTAGGTACATGAACTAAGAAGAGAGACTACTCAAAATAAAAAAAATAGGAGATATTACAACTGATGCTACAGAAATAAAAATAATTAAATGAGACTACTATTGGCAATTCCTCACCAAAAGATTGGATAACCTAAAAGAAATGTATAAATTCCTAGAAACATACAACCTACTAAGACTTATCGTGAAAAAAGAGATAGCCTGATTAGGCCAATAACGAAGAAAAAGATTCAATCAGTAATCAAAAATTTCTTAAAAAGCCAAACCTGCAGAAGTAAACAGTAAAAGGGTGGTACCAGAGGCCGTAGTATTGGGGGACTGGGAGATATTAGTCAAAGGACACAAAATTTCAGTTAGACAAGAATAATAATTTCAAGACATCTATTATACATCATGGTGACTGCAGTTAATATCCATATATTGTATGATTGAAAGTTGCTAAGATAATTTAAATGTTGAAAGTTGCTAAGAGAGTTTAAAAGTTGTCACCAGAAAAAAAAAAAAGTTAAGTACATGAGGTAATGTGTATCTTCAATAATGTGATTTAGCCATTCTACCATTATATATAAATACATTAAAGCATCATGTTGGGCACAATGAATATACACAAATTTTACTTATCAATAAAGTATATCTTTATCTTTCTAATGAAGAAGAGCCCAGTACCAGATAGCTTCACTGGTGAACTCTACCAGACAAAGAATAATTAACATTAATTCTTTTCGTTAACAGAATGAAGGATAAACATCACATGATCATTTCATTAGATGCAGGAAAAGCATTTGACTAAATTCAGCATGCTCTCATGGTAAAATTTCTCAAAAACTATGCATAGACGGAATTTAAGTCAACATGATAAAGACTATATATGAAAAGCTCATGGCTAACATAATATTCAAGGGCAAAAAACGGAAAACTTTTCCTCTATGATCAGAAACAGGGTGAGAATCGCACTCTCACAACTTCCATTCAACATAGTACTAAATGTTCTAGCCAGAACAATTAGACAAGAAAATAAAATAAATGCCATCCAAATCAGAAAGGAAGAATTAAACGTTTATCTGTTTGGAGATGACAGGGTCTCATATGTAGAAAACCCTAATGATCCCCCAAAAATCTGTGAGAAATGATAAACAAATTTGGTAAAATTTCAGTATACATAATCAACAAATGAAAATCATGGCTTTTAAAAATTTAGTTTTTTAAATGGTAAGTATAAATTACATATATACTTAAAATCAGTTGTGTTTTTATATATAAACAACAAACTAATAATGAAATTAAAGACATAATTTATAATAACATTAAAATAATAAAATTCTTAGGAATAAACTTAACCATGGAGGTTAAAGACTTGTACACTAAAACTAAAAAATATGATGAAAGAAATTTTAAAAGACATAAATACATGGAAAGACATGCTGATTTCATGGTTTAGAAGAATTAATATTGTAAAAATGTCCACAATCACAAAGTGATCTACAGATTCAGTGAAATCCCTGTCAAAATCCCACTGTCACTTTTTACAGAAATAGAAAAAAAAATTGTGAAATTTGTATGATACCACAAAAGAACCCTCATAGATGAAACAATGTTGAAAAAGAATAAGCTGGAGACATCATACTTTCAGAATTCAGATATTACAAAGCTATGACAATTAAAGTAATTTTTGGTAGTGTTGTGTTAGCATAAAAATAGACATATAGAGTAATCAAACAGAATAGACAGCCTGGAAATAAACTCATGCATATTTGGTCAATTGTACTTTAACAACTATGCCAAGAATATACAATGAGGAGTGAAATGTTTTCTTCAACAAATGCTATTGAGAAACTGGATATTTACATGCAAAATAATGAAATTGGACCCTTATCTTACACCCTACACCAAAATCAACTCAAATTGGGTGAAAAACTTCAGTGTAAGTTCTTGAAACTTTAAAACTCTTAGAAAAAAATTATGAGGAAAAGCTCTTGACATTGGCCCTATCAACATTTCTTGGATATGATGCCAAAAGAACAGCCAAAACAATAGCAAATATAAAGAATTATGACTACATCAAAGTAAAAATCTTCTACATAGAAAAGGAAATGATCAACAGCATGAAAAGACAATGGAATGGGAAAAATATTTGCAAAGCCCATATCTGATAAAGGGTTAATATACAAAATATATAAGGTACTCCTACAATTCAAAAACAAAATCCCAAATAATCTGATTTATAAATTGGCAAAGAATCTGAATAAACACTTCTCCAAAGAAGAAATACTGATGGCCAACAGGTATATGAAAAAATGCTCAACCTCACGAATCATCAGGGAAATGGAAATCAAAACCACTATGAGTAATTAATCGACAGCTGTTAGGATGGCTATGATCAAAAAACACAAGATAACAAGTATTGGTGAGGATGTAGTGAAATTGGAATCTTCATATACTGTTGGTAGGTATGTAAAATTGTGTAGTCACTATGGAAAACAGTATGCAAAATTCCTCTCAAAATGGTAAAAACAGTACTACCACATGATTCAGAAATCTCACTTCTGAGTATCCATCCAAAATAATTGAAATCAGGACTCGATGAAATAGCTGTGCTCTCATGTTCATTTCAGTATTATTTACAATAAGCAAGATAGGGAAACCACCTAAATGTCTATTGATGATAAAATGATGGTGGATGGTGAAACCAAGTGTGGTACATATGTACGATTATTCAGTCTTGAAGAAGAAGGAAGTCTTGCTACATGCAACAACATGGATAAACCTGAAGGACATTATGCTAAGCAAAAATAAGTCAGCCACAAAAGACTCATGTTGTATGATTCTACTAATAGGAAGTACCTAAAATAAAATAAAAAAAAAAACAAAGTACAATAGTGATTATCAGATACTGGGTAGAAGGGAAAATGGGAGTTGTTCATTGGGTAAAAATTTCCGTTATACAAGGTGAATGATTTCTAGAAATCTGCTGTACTACATTGTGCTCATACTTAACAAATTTTCCCTGTAAAATATTATGTTGTTTCTGTGTGATGTTAACTAACACAAGCACGTATTTTTGCTTTTGTTTTTAATTTCCACTTTTAAATAGGATCGTCATATCTCAAAATGTCCTACCAATATGTAGGGACAGTTATCTCGGAGGTAACACTCTTTTGTAAAATGCAGATAAAAGGAAATGAAAAAAGATTCTAAGGAAGAGGCGCAATATAAGAATGCTTTTCTTTTCCATTGCAGTAGTCAGGATATATAACTGGATAGAATTGCCTCTGTTTAGAGAAATAAAAAGAATATATTGGAATCAGTAAATGCATTTTCTTTGAGTAAAAGGGTTAGCGCACAGATATTTGTAACTTTGGAGATGTCACTCCTATAGCCTCGGGGTTTTAGAAGCAAATTCTGTGCTTGAGATGAATCCAGCTGAGATCCTGTTTCTCTTAATATGAGAAAGAATGACTTATAAAAGAAGATTTAAAGTACTTGTGTAAGCTTTGAACTAGTCAAGCTGAAACTTAACTCCCATTTCGTCTAGTAAAGCTCTTAGTGCCAGAATGTTTTCTGGTTGTAGAGGATAAATGACAATATGTACCAGCAGTAAATTGGCTTATCTTTTGGACCAGAAGAGATACTATAAATGGAAGCTAAATGCCAGTTTTGACAAGTTATGAATACAACTCCCAAGAAGCCAAATACATTTTTAGGATTCTGAACAGCTTTTTCTTATGTAGTAATTAGACTCTGGTAGAACAGCAACTAAATGGTGTTTACAACATTACAAATAAATTTTAATTTCATCCATATCATTTCACCCCTTAGGCTGAAGAGTGATGAAACATTATTTATACTTCTATTCAGTTCTTTCTTTTTAAGTGGAGGAAGAGCTAAAGGCAAAATTCCTATAAACAAAAGGAAGCTAAAATTGAAATCTGTAAGGAAATTATAAAGTTTAAAAAAATAATAACAATTTTTTCATATATGCAAAGAATAGCAGAGTACATATTTATTTCTTTGTATTTGCAGAAACACCATCAAGCTAAGCCATTTGCAATGTAAATGTTTAATCTAAATATTGTATAGACCAAACAAGAAATGAAGATTATGTATTTCAAATAAAATACAACACCAGTAAAGAATATATATCTATATATATACATAAACACACACACACCTATCTGTAGTTAAATGTGAGAGAAAAGTATGTGTTCACCAAATTCAAACACCTTAAATAATCTATATTTATAAATTATATGTGGCATAGGTCTTAGTGCTTTATGAATATACAATAAATGCTTTGAATAGATCAAATGCCTACGAAAATAATAAAGAGAGTGTCATCTTAAAAGGTGTTCTAGTGGCAATGGATATTTTGCCATCTACATTTATGAATAAAATAAAAATGTCATCAAGATTACATATTGAGATTCATTCTTTGATAAACAGCAGGGAGTAAGAAAATCATATTCTCTAATATCTGGCACATATTTGTATTGCTGTTTCAAATAGAGAGAAGAATAATTAAAAAGAAAGAGGTAGTACATTAAGATAAACTTTGCTAAAGAAATACTAAGTACCTAAAAAAGTAGATGAATGGCACAGTATTGGGGTTAAACAACATGGGGATGAACACTGCAAAATAAAGAATTTTGACTCAAAACAGTAGATTCAGCTAATATAACTGATGGAATTTCCAGGGTAATGGGAAATACTCATATTAAATGTGAGATTATAAGTATTTTGAAATATGTTTAAGTATGTGGGATGGGCATGAAATAGAGTATACTTTCTACTACATTAATTGAAATGTGTTTTTATTACAAAACATAAAAATATTGTACACCAACATATCTCCGGACTGCTGCAAATCAGAGGGTTTGGTAATTCTCAATAACTTATTTTATCAAAGGCAAAAGACAAGAGATGATATAGGTTTCAAGAACAAAACTGGAACAAATTGATCAACACTTCATGGCAAAGATGAAAAGACTGACAAAGTAAGATGTAGTGACAATGACATGTGATTATCCAATTATCTGTTGGAATTCTCATTTACATAAAAACTAGATTGAATATTCTTGATAAGCCTTCTCCCAGTTGATATAGAGAAGATACTTTAGATTTAATTGTTACCAATTAAGAACTATTTACAATGAACCAGAGATGAAGGGCACCTAAGAAAAAAGTAACCCTATGACCTTTTGTGCGGACAGTTCACGATTACCAGATATGATGCAAATAATATTATAACAGCATTCTGAAAAATAGGCATTAAAAATGTTAGGATTTCTTGGTACAACATCATAGATCACTTCAAGCTAATGGTCAGGTTTTTGTCCTTAATAAATAAAAGAATAAAGGTACAAGCTTTTTGTTAAGTCTGAAAAAGAATACCTGACAATTTTAATCAGAAGTTTTTTTAATGAAGAACAAAAAAAGAGTCATAAGGCATTCTAAGATGAATGCACATTTTAAAATGACATTCAAAGAATAAAAAAGAAAGTCAAGGAATCTGTGCCACATATTGCTATAATTGAGTATCACATCAAATAATATGATTTCAATGATAACAAAGATGTTTGGAAAAATTGCTAAAGGTAACAAAAAAAGGAACAAAATTATGTTGCTGTCTAAACAGAAAAGAAAATATTCTATAGTACAAGGCTTGAGAGACTTTGTTATATTTTGTTTTGTTTTGTTTTAATATAAAAGGAACCTGTTGTCAAATGACTTGCCCAAGGTCATATGGTTGTTCAGAAACAGAATTGGAAAAGTCTATTGCTGACTTCGTTTGTTTTACCAAATCAAAACTGCCTCTATAAAAGCTCCAAAAAAAAAAATAGAATAGAGACCCAAGGTATATCATAGGAATCTTAAGATACATGAAAGCTGACAAGAGGAAGTATTAATTGGTCTTGTTTTTAATCACTCAAGGAATGTGATTAGAAAGGTAGAATAAAAAGATGAAATTAATATGACAATAGATATTCACTCCAATATTCAAAGATGAAATGAGATACCTTTGGGAAGTACTGAATTATTCCTCTCTCAAAATATTCACACTTGAGTAATAAATATTAGTCAGAAATGCAGGAGTTGGGATTCAAGAATCATTGGGATGGTAAGAATAAATAAAATTTTGTATCTGAGAAGTCAATAATTAAAATTACATGTCAAAAGGAATGATTCTGGGGAAGTGGCAAGCATTTATTTACCTGAGAACTTAATAGCTTAATTTCCTAAGAATTTGAGAACCGTTCAAGTAAGCCTTAGTTTGAAGGCTGAGGAACGAGGCAATATAATATTGAAAACATTTGAAGTTTTTAAATTAGTTAATGAGCCACTACAAATTACAAACCACTGTGTGCCTGATAATATAGTTGGTACCTTGTAAGTGAATGCAAAGCAAATAGATGAAAGAGCAAATTAACTTTTAGAAAAAGTATTTAAAAATAAAGTGGTCCTTCTTCATTACTCAGCTTTTCATTCTAAATTTATCAACAGGCCATATGACGTATTATTTGTTTTCATTTTCATTACTCCACTTAAAAACATGAATTTTGTTTACATACAATATTAAGAAAGAAACAGCCAAATCTAAAGCAGTAAACTACCTCAGATAATAAATAGCATTTATTCATTGTGTTCTGTTTGACCTTTATGTACTTACTTCTTGGTTTGTGAGTTGATGAGAGATCTCTAAATTACACTGTCCTGGACCAAATTGCAGAGTACCTTGTCTGCTTTCTGACTTGGAGTCACAGTTCATCTTGACCTTGCTATTGGTATAAGTATCAGATTGGGTAATGACCTTATTTTTTTGCTATATTGCAGTCCCTAGTTATCCACTTGGCATTTATGGTCAGCTTTTCATTTACAGCCTGGTGCTGACATTCCCCAGACAATACTGTATGTTACCCTATTAGCATTAGTGCTCGCTATCCAAAATCATGCACTAACATAAATCCTCCAGGTCTCCCAGACACATTGTGCTGTGAAATTCTTATGAACTTGAAACAATTTACCAGATAATCAACTGTTTTATCTAGGAGTATACCACATCATTATTCACATACCTGCTATTTTCCCACTGACATGAAACATGTTTTCTTTCAAAAGTCAAAAGAAAAATTAATTATATTTTATTGTGTTTATAAGAGCAAATTACTTTGTGAGGCATAGAAAAAACTATCTTTGAAACATAGCAGTACAATTAGACTTAAGCAAATAGCACTTGTAAGATTTTTGAAGATATTTGATTTCTATTCTATACCTTTAATGACTTTGAGAAAATATGTGTAGCTTGCATTTCAACCATTTAAAAGCAAAATGACTTACATTAATATTAATTTATATCTCCTGAAGCATATCACTCATTTTTAACACAGCATTATGCATTGTCATATTTATTCGATGCTAATTTTTTAAGTGACAATATTCTAAAAGCAATTAGCAATTTTATTGTAGTACAAAAAATAGACAAACCCAGTATTCATTTCATTTTTTTAAAGTCAAAGAGGCTGAAGAATATCATGGCTCTTTCTACTTTTTTTATGTAGCTATAAACAATAGGCAAATATTTATACAGAAATTTAATTTCCTTTAATTAAATATACTTCAATGTCCTAATTTATGTATAAAATATAATGATAAATAAAAGTATTTTTTAAACTTTAAATTTTTGGGGAAAGTTTAACAGGAATGAATTTCAGTTCAGGCTTGATAATTTCACACAGAGAAATAAAAATTAAGTTAAAATGCTGAATTTTAAAACTCTGCTGGCATATCATGACAGCTTTTCAGGGAAAACATCTATTTTCCTTTAATAAGATTATGAAAATTAAAGCTCATTATTGTGTTACAAAGATATAGTTTAACAAATGCTATTAATTTCATTGGTCTTAATTGTTTTATTAGGATATAATTATTTAAAGGTGACAACATTCATAAATTAGTTTTCTTTAAATTTGTTCAATTGCAGATGTGACATGACATGACTGTACAAAAGTGTGTGGTTTAAACACTGGTCACCTAACTTATTAAGGATCTATTTTGTTTTTCTTGTTTTAACATATGGCAGTAGTTCTCAGAGTGTGGTCTTTGAGGTTGGCAGTATCACCATCACCTGGAAACTTATTAGAAAAGCAAAATCTCTGGCCTCTCATCCTAGCTGACTGAATCAGTAACTGGGGAGAGGGTCAAGCATTGTTATGTCTTAACAAGTCCAATGGATAATTCAGATACACATTAAAGGTCAAGAATCATTAACCTATGAGTTTTCAGCTGTGGTGTCATATTAGAATGATCAGAGGTGTTAAAATAAATACATGCATAAGTCTTATGCTATAACAATTGAAATAAATTATCTGGTGAGAAGACACAGTACTTATTAAAGAACCATATTTCTAATGTATAGCCAGGGCTAAGAACCACTGATTTTACCTAACATCCAATAGAGCTTTTTTATTCCTTTTTCCTTTCTCTGGACCTAAGAGTGTTCTTTCACTGACCTTTTCATTCAAAAATTACTATCTGATCACCAGACTCTAATAGTCAATGCCAAGTCTTCCCATTTTTGCCTAACATCCTGATGGGACCCATGCTGTTGACTTATTTTGTATTGTAAGTGACATATCAATTTAAATAAACTACTATATCCATACACAAATAACATTGTATTAGTGATTTTTAACAAATACAAAGGTGACCCACAAAGTTCACTGCTTCTTTAGGCTACTCATCTTATCCCATTAGATCTTTTTTCCAGTAAGTATTTAGATGATGTTATGCAGTAAAAACGCATTATAAGTCCACTGAATTTCCTGCTCACTTAATAACCTAGCTTGTTCCTACTATGCTACTATGCTATAGCATTAATAGTCACCCCCAGAATCAAAATTATTACCTAACAATGAGATTATGAAAATGTAATGCTAACATAGAAATGCAGTCAGGTGGTAATTCTTCAGGCCTAACAAACTCCCAGTCATGCTAGGGATTTACTGGTCATTAAAAATGTTTGAATGTCCAGAAATTTTAAGTATCAGTTTCTTTTATCTTGTTGTTCATGACTCTAAGTTCAGTGTTTCTCAAACTGTTGTGATACCTAAGAATTAACAACAAGGTTGCATTATAGAACATTATAAATACAGTACTTTATTTGTGAAGTAGATAATTTTCAAAGGAGTTTATGTTAATAAGATGCTTAAGTATTAAACATTGGAAGTGATTACACTATCATCACTTCCAATGTTTTTCTAAAGCAAAAATAGTTAACGATTCTTTTCTGAATGTTACTTATGAATTCATGCTTTGTGGGAGAAACAGATTATTTTACAAAATGTCTTATAATGTGTCCTTCAATGTTTAGAATGTTGTTTCTTTACTATATTTAATAAAATATCAATTACTGACACATTTTAATTTACATCTTTCACATACCATTTCTAAATAACTTCATTGCAAACCTCATAGTATCAAGCCCACAATTTGAGTAAATGCTAACATATTTTTTGTTGCTTCAAGTCTCTCTTACTCATCCTAAATGCAGATGTTGAAAAGTTTTTAAAATGTAAGAATTTTTCTCATCATGGAAAAAATTGGAAGTAACTGTTTTACTCAATATCTTCAGGTTTACCTACAAGTTTCTTAAATGCCCAGTTCCAGTTCACTTCTTATCAACTCACTTCATGTTTCTTTTCTTTCTTTCTCTCCTAAAATGCATATCACGACCTCATCTTGTGTAATATTGTGACCTCTCTTCAAAGTTTGTATCGAATACAAAATCTTATAAAAATTATGCGTTTATTTATCAGCATGAAACCCTAATCATGTAGCCTATCAAGGTTATATTTTCTTTATATTTTCCTTTAAGAATTTCAGAATGATACACTTTTATCATTGTAAATATGTGGATTCAAATAATATATTTTCTGAAAACACAAATATTTAGCTTTCAATGCCACATTTAATGAAATCACATACTAATTTTGTGGAAGACTGAGATGTTCTAAAAAGAATAAGAAATCATGAAAATATTTCTGCAGGCAAACAAAATTCAGTCTTTCCACTAGTCTTTCCACACATGTGTGATATACATGTTTTTCCATGGTTAAAAAAACATGCACACTACACATGTTGATATAAAATGTTTCCTTTTAACTATTGTTTTGAAAAAAACTTTTGAATAATCACATACAGGATATATATGAGTATGCAGGTTTGTATGAATTTTATGAAAGACAATAATTACTAAACATGCAAAAATCAAACAATTTTAATAACCATGTATATGCTAGAAATCAGCTTTGCCTCTACTGAAACAATTTCTTCAGTCTTCTACTGACTACATTCTTATAATGTTGCATTTCAGTAACTTCAAAATTATATTGAGGAATAAGTAAGTGAAAATTGTAATTATATAAAACAATCTATAATCATAATGTAGTGGTTATATCATTATATACACACACGTACACACATAAACTATTTTTCTGAAAAACCTTGTTTTCCTTTCCTAAAGGAAACATAAACATGCGTTATGGTTTTCATTTAATTTTTATTTAAGTATTTCTTCGACCACGCATTTTACAGAAAATTTAAATGACTATACATTTTTACATTTCTGTTTATTTGTTGGAAATAGTCACATTTGCATACATTTTATTATTTTTGAATCTTGACCTAATCCTGTCTGTGAAACCACTGCGGTGCACTATATAAAGGGCAAGAGAGATGGGGTGAGATTTGAATCCCTATTCCGTGAATGATGTCTGTACTTCTGAATTTCCTAAATCTGAAGAGATTCAGAGAAAAAGTCATGAGTATGTGATTCCTCTTTGAGGAGACAACATGAACCTGTAACTGGAGGTTAATTTACATGCTATTGCTAGAGCAGGAAAATTATATCTTTGGAGAGATTAATTGAAGAGCATAAATCTTTACTCATATGTAAGGAAAAAGCAGTTTCCTCTAGTAGCTAAGAAAGCAAAAAAGATGAAAAAGTTGATTCATAGATGACCATGGAGAAAGATAGTGAAGTTAGGAATACCAACAAAGGTGTTAGCAGGCTAGTTCTTACAGACCATACAGCAGCATAATACCATTATGATCTGAAAAATCATGAAAATGGGGCTACTTACTCAGTAAATTCTGGAATTGACCTTTCATTGGAGAAAAATTAGACACAAAGAAACTCTTACGCAGTATGGATAGATGAGAATATTAAAAGACTTCAAAAAATCTTGGGCTTGAAGGTAGTACGATCTCTAGACGTATACTTTTGGTTTATTTCCTTTCTTTTAACATAACTTCCTTTCAATAGACACAATACATATATTATAAAAATTTCTTCCTATGACCCTTATTTTTTCTTTACTTGTAACTGAGGCTATTTTAATTTCATGTAATGTGACATTACCACTGAGGTTGTTTTACTTCCTTTTTCACGTAGTGCCCTTAAAAGAAGAAAACAGATGTCTTAAATACATAATTATATTTGCCTCTCAAAATAACTTTGTTCTGTTGTTATCACTATTTTACACATTAGAAAACTGATGTTCAACAATGTTACATCAGCCTACAAAAGGCATACCTACGTGAGCATTAAAGCTAATATTTGAAACCGACACTCTTGTTTATCTGTTATGTTTTCCTGATGCATCGATCCTAGTATAATCATGAAGCGTCCTTATATAACTCTGGTAACACATTTCTTTTGAAATTGGCTTTTTAAAATATTAATATAGCCACTTCAGACATTTTATGTTCACCGTTTTTAAGGTATATCTTTCTCCTTCTATTTACTTTCAGTCTTTCAAATAGACCTACATAGGTCTTTACATGTAAAATGCATTTTTGTAGATACTATATATATTCTAACAATGTAAATATATATGTTGCTATGAACTGTGAAGGGTTTGAAATGTTACACATCATGCACAAATATTTATAGATAGATGGCCACTACATGGCTGGGTTTGAGAAAAAGAACTTAATATTATTTATCCTCACAGCAAAATGAACAACTGTGGTAACATTTCAGTGCTGCTCCTCACCCCCGCTCCTCCCAGCCAGCATCAACATAGAGTGATGTGGTGAGAGTCACATGTAGAAATATCTTAAGGAAACACCAGCTTTCACTCAATAGGTAAGGGATACAGGAGAAAAAAAAATGTTTTCAGTGCTTATAAATGGCAGAGACTATTCACTTTCCCCGATTCCTTTAAGGGAGTCTTTTTGGAGAAACAATGGGAAGAATCCTTAATTTTACCTTCGTCATAAAAATACATTTCCTTGGGAGTCAGATAAGGCCTTTGTCTTCAGCTTCAAATCTTCAAGAGTCTGGGTTGCATTTTTTTTTTTTTTTAATGTAAACACCTGGGAAGAAAACTCTCCAGCTTTCCTCGAGGACTATTTGCCCACCTTTGATATTAATGTTATTGTTATATAACACCTACAATATAATTGATTGGCTCTTGGGAACATAAAAGAAACTTGTATTATCTTTTTAAATCTGAACAATTGGCTCCCTTGGGGAAACAAATGGCTGCGATCTAACTTTTATGGTGTAAGAAAATGTTCTTGAGAAAAGTGAGAGCTATACTCTAACTTTATAGTATATTATAATGTATTATAATATATTAGATTCCATAGCTCCAGAGGCTGTGGTTTTACAGAACAACTACAAAACTAAAATCCAGGAAAGATTTATTTTCCCACAGTACAGTGGGTGTTTTTTTTTGTTTGTTTGGTTTTGTTTTGTTTTCAATATTCTGACAATTTCTGCCTTTTAATCAGGCTGTCTCATTTGTTAATGTCTAATGCAATTATCCACATGGTTGGTTTAAGTCTGCCACTTTATTTTTTATATACTACTTGGTTGCCCTAGATATTATGATTTACATCCTTGATTTTTTATAGTTCAATTATAGTTAATGCAATATTTCATGAGAATATATATGAAAACATTAAAATCTTGCTCATTCTTTGTTATAATTCTTAAATGTATCACACATACAATCATTATAAATCCTGTAAGATGATGTTATATTCTTGTTTTATACAATCATGTTTTTAAAGAAATTGAGATAAAATAAGAACAAGGGAAAATAGTATTTTGCATTTACTAGATAATTAGCATTTACAATGCTAGTCTTTCTTTACTGAATATATGTATGACTGTTGACCTGGCACAATTTTCCTTTAGCTCGAAGAACTTCTTTTTGACTTTCTTGTAATGCAGGTCCGTTTAGAGATAAATGCCTTTAGCTTAGTTTAAAATATCTCTATCACTTCTTGGTTACGGAAAGATATTTATTCTGTATAGAATTTGAGGTTGACTTTAAAAAAATTACGCACTTTATTTTTTTTGAGACAGGAGCTCACTCCACTCGCTCAGGCTGGAGTGCAGTGGCTTGATCTTGGCTCACTGAAGCCTTGACCTCTTGGGTTCAGGTGAGTTTCCCATCTCAGCCTCCTTAGCAGCTGGGACTAAAGGCATGTGCCACCACACCAGCTAATTTTTTATATTTTTAGTGGATATGGGTATTGCCATGTTGCCCAGGCTGGGATGCACTTTAAATGTGTGTTCATTTTCTTCTGTCTTTCAGGGTTTCTGGTGAAAAAGACAACTCTTAATTGGATTTTTATTACCATGTTTGTAATATGGCAATTGTCTTTTGCAGCTTTCAAGAGGCAATTGACTCTTAATAATTTATGTTTCTCAGCATGATTCCTTTGTGTATAGTCTACTTCATGTTTGACTAACTTCTGTCTGCAAATTTGTTTCATTAAATTTGGGAAAGTCCAGTTTATGATATGTTCATATATAATTTTTTCTGCCCTATGCTTTCTCCACTCTGTTACTAAAATTATATATATGTTGGACATTTGAATAACATCTAACAATTGCCTGAGATCAGTGTTTTTTTTCTTTTCAATATTTATTCTTTCTGTTCTTCACCTTGGGTGAACTCTGTTGGTATACTTGAAAGTTCACTTTCTTTCTACTCTGCCATGTGCATTAAGCTCTTAAGTCCACCCAGTGATTTTTTTTCAAATTTCAGAAATTGTATTTTTTTTAGCTCTAGAACGTCTTTCTCCTTATCTCGCTGAGATTTCCTATTACTCTGCTGAGAATTTTTTATATTAAAAACCTATTTTGTCTATTTTGTAAAACATACATGTAAGATAATCTATACAAACTATTTTTATTTTTTTCTTTGATGATAGTTATAATAGCCACTTTTAGAATTTTTTTCTGTTAGTTCTAAACACATGGTTATTTTAGGGTCGAAACTCTTGATTTTCCTTTCTCTTGAACCTATGCTATGTGTTCTTGGATTTTTGCATGTTAGTAATTTTGGCATTATATTATAGCTATTATAAAAGTTAAATTTTAGAGATTCTAAATTTCATCATTTTTCTCTAAGTGTTGTTTCTCTTGTTATAGTAGAATTTTTTGTTTGTTTGTTTTGGTAGGATTGAACTGCAAACCTTTTTTTACTTGGGCGGTAGCTCCTATATTATTTCATACATTTGTCATTACAAGAGTTGTCTTGAGTCTTTTCTGCACGTGTGCTTAAGGTATTAGTTGGGCATGTGAGAAGGTAAAGTTTTGAGAGCCCCCCCTTTGGCTCTTTCCCTTTTAAACATTTCCCCATTCTTTTTAACAAATCCTGGTTTCCTTACTTCACTTTTACAACTCCTTACATAAAAAAAAAAAAAACACCTTTTTTTCATGTGTGTCCCTGTCACAACTGTGAGCACTGCTTGTACTGTCCTTAGACGTAGTCCAAAGCCCACAGTGACAGTAATTTACTCTGCCTACCTACCCTTCTACAGGTAAGCAAAAACTCTGCTATAGAACCTGCCTACTTCTATTCACCCTCTCGTACCTTCAGATAGTTGCTTATTGTATTATATACGTGTTTTATAATTTTCTTCAGGGATTTGTTCACTCAATTCCTACTGTGAAAACTGGAATCAAAAATGTTATTCCCTTTTTGTTTAATGAAATAGCCAAAATAAGACTAGCCTTTCTTCTCATCTGAAGTGCTCAAGCAACTTGGTTTATAAGATATAAAACATCTCAAACTATGTTCTTGGCATTTTTCCTAATTTTTAAGAATTCACAGCATCTCTATTACACAAAACTTCCTGAAACCCTTTATATCATGTTTTGTGAAGAAGAGCCTCACATGAAAATTGTCCTAGAAAACCAGTTTTTCTACTATCTTTTACTTCTTACAGTAATTGCAAAATTCTGTTCTCTTTTCATTCCGTTTACATTGTTCATTCATTAATCATTTAATGACCCGTAACTATGTTCCAGTAGTTGTTAAATTCCAAAACAAAAGAACTAACCAGGAAGATCCGAACCCTGAATTGTGTTCTTTGAAAGTAGTTTTGAAAACAAATGTGTAAGCAAATAAATTATAAAACACTTTTAAAATGGTTATTACACAAGTACCAAAAAAGCTAGGAAAGTGAAGGAAATTTTTACCTCTGTTTTAAGGTGGAAGGTAAAACTTTATAGAGGGCAAGGACATTTGAATTCGTTCTTGAAAAATGACAAGATGTTTTCCAAATAACATCTGTGGCATAGAGCTTTCCAGACAGAAATAAGAGTAAATAGAGATAATCATTTTTCCACGTATCATCCCTATTTCTCTCTGTGGCTTTTTTTTAAGCCAAAGATGCAAACATTCATCATATTAAAGTACATATTTTAAAAATGTGTATCTTTTTTTCAAAATAAATGTTTTTCTATGTGTTTGACATATAAGGTACATGGAATGGATGTAGCATTGTGTCAAGATGCATGATGCTAAACTGATAAAACTTGTCCTCCATCGTCAACAGTGCAGTATAAAAAATCATTGAAGATTAAATCAATTAATGCCATGATAAAATTTATATATTAGAAAGATAGTAATAACTCCGGTTATAGCATAGAGAACAAATTTGGAAAGAGAAAATTGTAACAAAGCAGACCATCTAATGCTTCTGAAGAGTGATTATAAGGATCTGAACTGCCTCAATGATAACAGGTATTGAAACTTCAGATCACATTAGGAAAATATGGCAGATGGAATTGACTTGGCAGCTAATAGGAAATATGTGCATAGAAAATATTAACGAAATAAGACTCCAATATTTTATTTTTAGTAATTACATTAAAAAAAAGAAGACATTTTCAAGATGGAGGAATGAGTTTTATTTAGCCATTGTTGAGTTTGGCGTATATATTATAAATTATGACTTCTTATATCATTTAGGAAGAATATGTAGACAACAGAATAACCTGCTTTTTATTTTTTGTTTGTTTGTTTTGGTAATTTACCATTATTATTTCTCCCTTGTCTCTCTCTTTCCTTAATTCTTTAAGTGTTTCTTAACCCCTGTTTGTTTTGGTTTGTTCCAACCCTAGCCCTAACCCCCAAATTTATTGAGAAAACTTCCTAGCAATATAGACAAAATATATATTTATTAATACAATGTATGTTTATTAATTCATTTTCTTTTCTTGGATCACCAATTATTTTGTCACAAAATTCTACATAATTGGCACATCTTACAAACCTTTATTTTGGACTGCCTGCCAAAATGGCACCCACATGGGCTGGGTGAGGTGACTCAGGCCTGTAATCCCTCCCTATTGGGACGCCAAGGCAGGCAGATCACCTGAGGTCAGGAGTTCGAGACCAGCCTGACCAACATGATGAAGCCCCATCTCTACTAAAAGTACAAAAATAGCCAGGAGTGGTGGCACATGCTTGTAATCCCAGCTACTCAGGAGGCTGAAGCAAGAGAATCATTTGAACCCAGGAGGTGGAGGTTACAGTGATTCAAGATTGCACCACTGCACTCCAGTCTGGGTGACAAAGCAGGACTCTATTTCCCCCCACCAAAAAGTTACCCATGTTAACTTTGGTTCCATATACTATTCCATAGCCACAATTTTCATCTAATTTCATTATGTTCATCTCCCAGAAAACCTTACTCACTTTCAACTTGGAGCTTATTTGCTCCAGTATCAATGTGAGATCTTTTAACCTCCGCTTGAGATATGAGATAACTAAGACTCTGCATTTTAACAACTTGCCAAACGCAGGCCCAGAGCAGTTTTTCTGATGACCATATTAACTTGCTTTCCATCATAGCATGCTTTCTCTGCAGTCAAAAATTGTGTTATTCTTGGCATTTTATTATATATTTTCTTTGATACTGGATACTAATAATCATGAACATTCCCGAGTATGCAAAATGACAACCTAATCACAAAAAATCAAATATAATCTTTTAAATCATTTTTATGATAGATTTTCAAAGCTGCTTAAGAAGAAAAATATCACCTGATTTGCTGTATATATGACCTACCTTTATACTTTCTCAAATCTCATGGCTAAAAAAAGAAAGTACAATAGATAGACCTTTCATCTAATTTTCAACTTGCGACCATGGCCTAAGCTTGTAATAAACATCAAATTCTATTAAAAACTATGAGAATGTTAAAAATAAAAACAAAGAAAAACAAAATCAAATTCCTCTGCTCTCTCTGCTATTTTAAAAATTCTGAATAGGAAAAAGATCTACATAGTGAAATAAATGTGATTCAATAAATAGCTTACATTACATTGTGAATTCCTGTATGCTTACATCAAGTTAATGCCCAGTAATTCAATTAAATGAACACAATTTAGAAGGAGAGATTTCCTTAATAATGTAGCAGTGCAGTTTCTGGGTAAAATATAAAACAGTATTTATGGTCATTTACTCAAACCTCTACTAACTTCAGTGGATATTACTTTATGAATTTTACAGTATGACACAAAAGCAAGCTCAATGAAGCAGCTATTTCTCTACCAGTTGAAGATAATAAAATACTTTACTAAGTAGTCATTTGTATTACAGTTGCCCTTCATAAAATACTGGTGCTGTATATTTTTACTATTTGCTTCCACTCTTATGGTATGCAAATATAATCATTATACCATTTTACTGAAGTGTTCAGCATGTTTCTACACCTTCTAAATTGGTGAAAATGAATTGCGATAGCATGCAGTATTAATATAAAATGCCAGGAAAATTGCCCACATAATATAACTCTCACATTATAAGATTTAAAAATGTCAGTTTAGCTCTTGCAAACCTCCTTTTAGTTGTGCACGTAAGCAGAAACATGAGGCACTAAGTGTTATATATCTTTTGAAAATGGCCCATCTCTCTAGGGATCAGAATAGTAATACTGCTTGCAAAATAATATTTGCAGAATCAAAGAGAAGAATACTAATCTCAGTGAAACCTAAATGTATTGCTTTACTGCTATTGAAATTTAGGAAAAAGACAAGACTCTCTCTGTGAAGAATACAATGAGAAATTGACAATCTATATGATGAGTAGGTCTATACATTTCCCTTTCAATTTTATAGAGTGTATTGAGATCTAAAAAAAAAATTGTATAGGTTTATTCCTGAGAAAATACAGAGTTCAGTCACATAATAATGCTTTTGACCAATTTTGAGGCAAAATTTAAAACGAGGTAGTATGGATCCTTAAGACAACCTATAAAATTATAAGCCATGGTGCTTCAAATGGCAGTATCTTCTAGCTGTATTCAATACAGAATTTTAATTTTTGAACAAGAATATATTTACTTGGAATGATTGCTTAACTTCTTTCTTCATGCCATGTTCTTCTTTACTTCTTATTCGAATTCTTATATTGTTGAATGAAAGAAACAAACGTGGCATCTTTTAGCTGTGTAGGGAATTATTGGGAAGACAAAGCAATTTACTGGTTTTGTTTCACTTTTTCCTATGACTAATTTTTTCCTGTAAGTAGCTGGAAGTGAGTAGCACCCACACTACATGATTGTTAAGACAGAATAAGTTAAACAAAGAGAAAGACAGGAGAAAAACTAAAATCAGTCTTTTCTAAAGCCAGATTCCTCTTTGTAGGTGTGATTACAGAGGCACTGTCAAATGGCAGCTCTGCAAAGTACTCTTGCTTATTAAACGATGGCACTAAGAAATCAGCATGAAAATCTTTGGTCTCCTACATAGAACTGACCTTATTTGTAATATCTCCATCCACCAAATAGGGATAACAAAACGTATGAGAAACAAATATAAGAATTACTAATGAATATATTTAATACAAATAAAACATTCAGAAACCTAGAAATATCCAACAAATGATAGTTTCACTGGTATCAAAAAAGTTACTCACTGTATTTATTCTCTCCATTACATAAAAAATGTTAAAGTATTCTAAATACATGAATAAAAATACAAAGAAATGCCAAATATATGTAACTCTTATGAAATAAAACAAACTATATTTCTTTGCCTTACATTTTTATAGAATATCATATTTTTTTCTTATTAAAACTCATAAGTAGATTTGAAAAAAAAAAAAGCAGCAGCAGCAGCAGCAGAATCTTTAGTTCCAGAAGGACTTGAACTGAAATCCTGGCATTCTTATTCTAGACATTTGGGTAATCTTTCCAAACTAATTTTTTTTTTTTAAATTTCTCCATCTCTAAAGTGATATTTCAGGGTGGTTACTGAGAAAATACAGTAGTATTTTCTGTCCTGTCTGGGATTTAGTAAGTATCTCCAGAAGTGGAAAAAATCTATTCTATTTTTCTCCATAGATATTAATATTAATAAAGAAGATAATACTGTCTTTCTTGGATACCATTCTTTCTTTGTGGTATGCTATTTCTCTGCTTTGAAGTTATTTATCCCTCTTTGATGACAGTTCTCTACACTCCGGAGTCACTTCTTCAAGTGATTTCATCCACTATTACAGGTTAACAACCAACTGCATGTTGATTGCTCCCAAATTCAGATCTCTAGATTCTGAATACTCCTATGTACTTTATATTTTACCACAATTATACGCCCTCTATTTCACTTACACTATTCATCAACTTTTCTCATAATGCTAGTCATTCCCCTAGTGATTCCCATTACCCTATAAACTTTTCTTTGGCACCACTAAAGTTCATGTTATCTTTTACCCTTGCATGTTTTCAGTCAATAGGTAGAGCTGATTTTACTTAATAAATAATCCTCAAGCTGTTCCTGTTTCTCGGCCTACTACATCAACTTGAATTTTCAGTACCTATTACCTGAAATTCTTTATTTGGCTGTATTTTTGCATCTTTGCCTGCAAACTTCCACAAATACATACTTTGCACAGTTATCAGGCTGATCAAAATATCATGAAATGTGGCTGAAAAGCTCTTATTTTTTAAATTATGAAATGAATTTCTATCAAATATAAAAACAAAAAATTTTATACAAAGTATCATAATATACCTTTCCTATGACCATTGAAGTTTTCAATGACCTAATGTATATGTGCCTATCCATGTTCATCTTTATCACTCACTGTTTTGCAGTTATTTTAGCAATAGCAAACTGCATTCTTTTCTGTATGCTTTTGCTCATGTCCCCACTTCCTGAAATTATCTTTTAATCTTGCTTTACTTAATTTCTACTATATTCTGTGTCTCGGATCAGACTAGCTAACAGACCTATCACATGCTTTGAAAAAAATGCCTGACACTATGTTAAAGGGAGAAAATTTAAAAAATTTATATATTACATCTTATCTTTTCATTAGGTACATTCATAGCTAAGCCATGCCTTAAGATAATACTAATACCAATTAGAAATAGTCTATTGAGGATTTTTATATATCTGAACCCATGTTCAGGATTTTATAGGTATAGCCATTAAACTCAAAACAGACTGTGGCAGACATATCACTATTATCCACCGGAGGCCATCCTTAATATGCCTCTCTGATAAAAGACATAGATTAGATTTCCTCAGAGGGTAAAATTAAGATGTACAGAGTTTAGGTTACTTGTAGGACATCATATAACTAAGTGGTGGATCTAGGAGTTCACCCCACATGTTTCTGACTTCCAACATTATACTTCATAACACTGTGGTGTAACTTCTCTCAATGAAATAACTATGTCTGTCTGTCTGTCTGTCTATCTAATCTATCTATCTATCTATCTATCTATCTATCTATCTATCTATCTATCTGTTTCTGTCCTCATGAGTATTTAAATGCTGGCTTGACATCTAAAACAAATTAGATAGTAGACAACACTAAACAGTAACATTTTGGAAAACATACCTGGAGTAATTTACCCTCTCCCTACATTCAAATTTAAATATTCATGAAAACACAGAAAAACTTATGAGTTGTTTAAAGTAGAATGGAAACTAAGCTTAGTGGTCTATAATATGCCAAACATTCATAAGCTCAGTATGACTCTATTACCAACCATAGCACCCTCCTCTTTTACCCACCTACAATAAACAAAAGAAGTCAACATTCTTCACGTCTAATTAACACATTTTCCCCATAGTACTCTGGAAAGTGAGGCATGGATGCATGATTCATGGAGGGTGAATTATTTTAGTCATTTAAGGTGCTTTGTGGCTAGAAGGATGGAAAAAGGGGATACAAGTGCTATAAGTGGATCACTTAAAGAGATAATCTATCTCTGTGGGAAGCCTGTACAGAATGAGACACTCTCTAGCCCAAGGGCAATAACTGGCTTCTGGAGCAAGATGCTGGCTATTGAACGTGACAAGGAACTGCTTATGGCTCCTCCTGACCAAGGCTGTTTCTGTACCTGAGTCCTTCAGGAGATAGGAAAGAAAACTAGCCAGGAAGGTAAATGAAGCTGCTTTTAAATAACAATTCTATGAAAACAAAACAAAACAACAACAAAAAAACAAAAACAGAGATGGTTGCATTTACTTCCAAGACAATATATTTTATATCTACATTAAGCAGAATAGGGTTTGTGACTTAAGTTGTTATACAAAAATGACAGTTACATTTACTTTTGAAAATCTGTGTTTGTGATTATGAAACTTGAGTCTATCAAAAAGGAGAATATTTCCTGCCACCCTATCAGTTACTCCCTTCCTCAGTGGTTTAGGGGCTTCTGTGGGCATTTCAAGCCCTTATCAATGTCCAATATTCCTTTCTTCCCAGGTGCATGGAACAGTGGCACTTTTCTTTTGTCTTGAAGTTGTAGCCATTAAACTGCACTGGCCAGTCAAATGTGAGTAGGTGATATGAATCACTTTCAGGAAACATTTAATTGCCAGACTGCAACTCTCCTGTGTTCTCTTCTCCAGCCCAAAGGCTGCCTTAAGCTTTTGAGGTCACAGGTTTTTACCATATCATTACTTAGCCTAACCCAAGTGAACCAAATGAACGAACCAAATGAACCAAATGAATGAATGAAAACTGCTTTCTTTCTAGCTGGAACTCTTTCCAACATGATCCCAAATTAGACAAAGCACCTTCTAAAGCTATTTATGTACCATCATTTCCATAATTAAAACAGGTATAGGACAAACATGGGTAGATGGTAGAATTTGCTGTCATAGACATAAAGGGAACCAGAGAAAAGGCATTGAAAGACATTGTGATCAGTAAATGCTAAGTGTTGTGCCTTTTCACTCTCTAATTACATAAAGGGAGTAATTTACAGACTGCTTCACATTACCCAAAATATCTGTCCCGCAGTCAATTGAACATAAATTTTCAAGAATAAGTCCCTCCTCACATGAACCACAGCAGGAAATAAAAAGCAGTAAGAGGAATTAGACTAGCTGATTTGAGGACCAAAATACCATCCATTTAATATTAGAGAGTTCAACAACAAAAACATAATATACTTTATGTTTATATGAAGAACTGCATGTTTAGGTTATTCAAGAAATAGGAAAAGCAGACAACAAAAAAGAATGGGCAACTGAAAGAATTTCCAAGGAAGAATCTGACATAAAAAAGAATTAAATATGTTATTAATGCCCTAGGCACTGATAGATGTCCTAGAGATAGAGCTATGACTAGCAATACCAGATTTGTTTTTATTACATGAAAAATATTTTGAGGAGGCTGTGGAATGTGGTGAATTATTACATCTAGAGGCAGAAGGAGGCAAAACAATGACATAAAAAGGAAGGCAAAACTTGAACCAGATACTTACAGACAATAACTACAAGAGATAAATAAAACTGATAGTACGAGGAAGAATGGGGAAGGATTGTGGTTGTTGGTGATTTAGAGTCAGAAGGCTGGGAAGGTCTCTCTAGAAGAAGAAAGTTAACTGAGATTCAAATGATATGAATAATCCAGTGTTTTGAGGTTTTGGTCTCTGAGGTGAGATCACGTTGGCAGCATTTGAGGTGTAGAAAGTATTCTAGTGAAACTGAAGTGTTCTGAGCCTGAGAAGAATTGTATGAAATGATGTAGGAGATGTGGGCTGGGCCTTTTTGTGACAGATGCTGGTAGTCACATGATGAGGGCCTAGTTAGGCTTCATTTAGAAAATGCATCCGAATTATGAACTACTATCCAAATACATTTAAAATATTCTGGTGTATTTTGTAAAGTTAAATACTTCTCTTGTTAATTATGTCTGTTTAGATAGGTCTTGTTAATGAGACAAGAAACACCTGTGTTTGGCTTGCCATGAAGAATTATACTGGCTGTTTTGACCTCTGGAGGAAGGCTGAGCCCTTTGGCATCACATGTGTTTGCAGCTCGTCAAGCTGGCTGGATATCCCACCTCTCCATGCCCTATAGCTCTGTCTCGGAACCTGTGATTGCTGTGAATTGTGTCATCTGCACACAGTTCACTAACCAGTTATGTATAGACTGGTTATGCTACATTTAGTAGTTTGTGTTTTATTCTGACAGTTGGAAAGCCACAAGAGAGTTTTAAGTTGGGGAGTAACAAATAAATCTATAATTTAATGGGACTACCATGCCTGCTTTGTGACAAATGGATCACTAGAAGGCAGAAATTGTAGTGGGGTGACCAGTTTGAAGGATGTTGAAATGACTGCAAATAAACAAGTTTCACAGGTTCTTTAAGGAAAAAAAAAAAAAGAAATAGCTGACAATTCTATGCCCAATCAAGTTGTCATTGAGATAAAGTTAACAGAATGTTTGTTAATATATAAAATGTTTAAATTAAATGTTAAATATATTAAATAAAATCTATTGTAAAAATAAAGCTCTATGTTAAAGCAAAAGGAATAATGGAAATGGAATGAGGGGAGAAAACATACCAAATAAATCAAGTAAAATATCAATAGTTAAGTTTTTCTCTTTTCAATTATTATTTCTAGAAGAACTAGTTTATGTATTACTTTTATACACTTAAAGCTTCTAGTTAAGAAATTGCTGCTCTAAGACTTGAGCCTCTGCCAGTGAATGCTACTGTAGCACATAAGGCTTAGGAAGTGGGCAGCATGCTTGGGAATACCATTATCTTAGAGACATTTGCAAAAGTTCAAAACTAAACATGTGTAAGTTACTTCCAGTAAAAGTCATCATCTTATACCAAGGCACAAGGAGCTACCACGTCTAAACCTTAACACAAAGAGAAACAGCAATAGAACTGGTGACTGCAGGGTTTCAGAAACCAACAAAACCAATCATATTATGATTCAAATATAGGTAAACTTGAGTCATTATCAGATGTTCAAGCACTGATGGTCATCATTCACCCAGATATACATTCTACTCAATCTAGTATTCCCAAGCACTTTTAGGGTCCTCCACTGGGGTTTGCCACACTCTGGTAAAAAGAATCCCATTTTTAAAATTTCTTAGCCTTTTTATCTTTTTTTTTTTTTTGCCTAAATCAGTTGTTCTCAACCCTGAATTCACATAATATTGAATCATTCTTTGATATTAAAAACAAACAAAAATAGCTAGGCATGGTGGTATACACCTGTGGTTCCAGCTACTTGGGAGGCTGAGGTGGGAGAATCACTTGAGCCTGGAAGGTAGTGGCTGAGCTGTAATTGTGACACTGCATTCCAGCCTGGGTGACAGAACAAGACCCTGGCTCAAAAAGCAAACAAAGCCTGTAATTCTAGCACTTTGGGAGGCCGAGGTGGGCGGATCACGAGGTCAGGAGATCGAGACCATCCTGGCTAAGACCGTGAAACCTACCCCCCCTCCCCGTCTCTACTAAAAATACAAAAAATTAGCCGCCGGGCGGGGTGGCGGGCGCCTGTAGTCCCAGCTACTCAGGAGGCTGAGGCAGGAGAATGGCGCAAAACCGGCAGGCAGAGCTTGCAGTGAGCCGAGATCGCGCCGCTGCACTCCAGCCTGGGTGACAGAGCGAGACTCCGTCTCAAAAAAAAAAAAAAACAAAAACAAATTTAAAAAAAACCCCAACCAACCAAACTAAAAACACAACACTCACAGAAAACAAGCAAGGAAACAAACAAATGAAAATCTACCTCTTCCCCATATGAAGATGGGTTTAAATCAGAAAACATACTTTAAAACAACACCTTTTTTTAAAATAGTTTTCTTCAGAAAACAAGCTTCCTCTGCGGCCTTCTTAAGGCTCTTCTCTTACACATCACATATGTCAGAGACAAGGACTGACATGGCTCATTATCAATGCTTCCAGACATTACTCTTTTTCTTTAAATAAGCAAAAAAAAAAAAAAAAAAAAAAAATCTTTGGTTCCTTTAAGATATATATTGTCTTTCCATACCAGTGTGTCACACACTTTAATGCAAACCATGTGGAGTTTGTATTAAAATGCAGTGCAGACTATGATTCAGTAAGATTGGAATAGACAAGATTCTGCACTTCTAAAACCTCAGAGGGACTCCAGTGCTGCTGGTCCATGGAATACACCTAAAAAGCACAAGCCAATATCATCCTCTCTTTCTGTGAATCACCTCTTCGCCCTCCCATTCTTTTGCTCAATTTTAGCCTCTCGTTCACAGACTTTTCTTCCCCATCTCCTTTTATCAATCCCAATGATATAAACATCTATATAGATGAAATAATCTCAACCTGAACATTTTTATATTAATAATCTAACATTCAATGATGTTTCCCTCTACTTCACCTTAACACTTGTACCTTATCAACAAGAAACAAGACTACATTTATATGTCTATTTTAAATATCTGGTTTTCATCTTCCGTTCTGCTGCACCATCCTATGTCCCATATTCTTACAGTTCTCCTGATATTGTACATTCATTGCCATCATTTCCTGAATTCATTATGTCCCTGAGCATTTTGACTCTACTACTTTCTCAGAAGGGCCCTTCTTGTCATTCTTGGTGGGGAGCAGAGGCACATGAGAATCCTATTCTTTCTGGTATCTGCATGAGCAGTCAGCCCACTAACCACTGAGCAATTCGTTTCATGTGAATCTTGTCAGTGGCCAAGACACTTGTGCACATTGATCTTGACTGACCCAAAAGAGTATACACCAAGTAAGGGAACAGTCTTCTCTGTTTAGAGATGGGGATGAAACTTATACAGTTGAAAAAGGAGACAAAGGAAGAGAACAAATGGGGAACATTTGAGTCTCTATTTTCATTAAGATGGAATTAGGCATCAGATTATCTAAGTTTCCAGCCTTATTTCATCAAATCCTAATTCTGGTACTAGGCTAATTATTACTAAATTTTCATGTGGTGTGCTTTGCTAATCACTTCTTGTGTTTTCATGAGTGTCTTATTGGAAATTTGTGAAAAAACATGTCAATCCTATCAGGACATGATTTTAAGGTAGAAGCTAAAAAATAATTCAGAATATTTTGGGGGGAGTGAGTGATTAGAGAACATGTATAATGGAGAATGATCAGCTCTGGAGCATGTTTACTTTAGCAGTGAATGGCCTAATCTACAATTACTTGCATGTTTCTTAGAACATTTTCTTCTCTCTGTATTCTACTACTCTACAGTGATACGTGTATAATAAATTGCCATAGTGATTTGGAATTTTAAAGCAATTCAGGTTAGGCTATAGTATCTCAAAGCCCCTAGGTAAAATTTAAAGCAGAACACAATTTACTTAGGTTATTTTCATTTTCTGCTTAGTCTCACCTTTACTTATTTCTTATTATTAGTCTTCCTGTTTGTTTCATATAGCTAATTTATTTTTGTTTGCAACCTGAAAAAAAAGAACACTAAAACTAAATTTGGAAAAAAAGTCATAAAATTTCTTATATCATGCCTTATGCCTAATATATTTAAAATGACTTAAGAGAAAATAGCCACCTATGTCTTTTAGATAATTTGTAAAATAAACTTTCATATGAGGTGTAATGGAAGAGGTCTCATATTGAATCTTGAATTGGGACAGATATTAAAATATCAGAATCCCAAAAAATTGTTTTAACAAGTAAAACATTAAATAAAGTACAGAATAACATATGCACAGAAATGAATATACTAAAAAAGCAGGTTTTTCAAATGTAGTCCAGAATAACTTGGCTTTCACAATATCACAAAAAGGGGATTTGCCACACCAGAAGAAACCATTCATACATATCACCCCACTTGTTTTTTCCTAATAATAATGTTTATAATTCAGACAGGTCTTCAAAGACAGGGACCTAATTGGGCTTATGCACTGGATTGGTAGACATAATAAGGTGAAAGTTATGAAGAGCGTGTCAATGAGAAAATTTGATAGTCTTGAAACGTAACATATTAATTTGCAGTCTTATCTCAGCAAAACAAGTAACTATCTTATTTTTTGAAATTCGTACTGTTTATCATAGGAAAAAAAAGTGTGGTCCCATTAATGTTTAACATAGGAAATTATGTTAGTTTCAGTTTTCACACACCACTGAACTGTCTTTTGATGCCATAGTTTGAAATTATAAAATGTGGAATAATTAAACATTTATTGAAGTTATAAAAAGTGAGAAAAAATATAATTTTTGAGTCAAGTTTTCACAAACTAAAACTATTTTCTGTTTTACTCTTAAATCTGAGTAAATCATCTAAAATCTTAAAATATCAATTTTAGAAATAAAATGAAAATAATACCTTGTTTGAAAATTTAACAATGATTATGTGAGAAATAATGCAACAACACGTTGAGTTCAGTGCCTGGCATAGATATACATCTATCCATTTATTCAGTAATATTTGAACATAGATATTATGAGCATATATTAATATGAAGACACAATTAGTCGTGATTTCTAAAAAAATAAATACAGATAAAAATGATTTTTATGAGTACTTGCAGCTATGCTATGTCTATTTAACTTAAATATAAAGCTCATATAAATAAAGGGAAACTTGAGCAACTGTAATTTTAAATTCCAAAGAGACTTCTTGACTAATTGCTACGTAAACATCCTTTCTTCGACTGGGGAAAAAGTGAATGTACAAACATTAAAAAAATTTGTTCACCCTAATGTTGTATCCTAATACAAAGCTTGAGCTATTATTTTTCTAAAGAGATAGTTAAAAATAAATTACAAAAGAGGAAGAATGAAAGCATAATGTATTCTGTAATACAGTTATGTTTTATTTTGTGTTAAATTTATTTTTTGCTGCTTTTAATATACCTTATTAGAAAATAGAGGAAGTCACCTCACATTGCCATAAATGAGAAAAAGTTGTAATTAAATATAATTAATTGAATTAAGTTGCGTATATGGACAGAATATATAAGGACACTTCCCCTTCCACCAGGAAAGCAAAGAAATAAAAGGTCCTTTGAACAGAGCTTGACCTTCTAAGACAGTTTGTGATAGGAATTCACTGCTCAAACCTATGAAATAATTGCAATTGAGGAAGGAAACAATACAAGAGCAGAAGGTTGACAAACCAGAGTGGCTAATATATGTTTATTACTTAATGTTATGTCTTTTCAAAAGTGAAAGCAGCTTTGGTGAAAAACTTCCAATTGGTGGCTATTTCTTGGCTTTCTTAATCTTTCACCAGCTGACTTATAACACCCACCCACCCACACACACACACACACACACACACACACTAGTTTAGTCTCCCAAAGAGAAAAGTTTATCATATTTCGCCAAGAATTTCCCTAAATTCTGAAATGGTGAAAACAGTCACTTTATCAGAAGGATGTTCATAATGTTAAATTAACATTTAAAGCAAGCCAGGCCTGTAATCCCAGCACTTTGGGAGGCCAAGGCAAGCAGATCCCTTGAGCTCAGGAGTTCAAGATCAGCCTGGGCATCATGGTGAAATCTCTACGAAACAGACAAAAATTGGCAGGGCTGGTGGCATGCACCTGTGGTCCCAGCTACTTGGGAAGCTGAGGTAGGCGGATCCCTTGAGCCTAGGAGTCCAGGCTGCAATCAGCCTAGATTGTACCACTGTACTCCAGCCTCAGTTACAAAGTGAGACACTGTCTCAAAAATAAAAATATAAAGGAATAAATAAATGTAAAAAAAAACATTGAAAGCAAAAGGGACTTTGTAGACCTCCTACACATGGATACAAATAAGAATTTATCATTGAGCTTGATGTTCGCTTTGTCACATTGAGAAAATTTAAATATTATTTCCAGATGAATAAATTTGTTGCATTAAATGTCAATGGTACACTGAAGCGAGAATGTGATTTGAACTCAAGAGTCTTTAGAAATTTGTATCAAAAGATAATGTACATGCTTAATTTTTATATGTAATTCACAAATTATAAAATATAATTTGTCAGAATAAAAAATGGAGTTTTGTACTTACATTTGAGGTTTTATAATTTTATTACAACTTAAACATCTCCATGTCTAATGAACAATATATGCATTACTTCTCCTGACTACATCAATCTGCATTAAATCATAGTGACAGTTGCATTAAATCATAGTGACTGTTACATTAACAGCTAAATGCAGATAGTTCTCTTCATTTAGGAACATGCTTGTTAATCAGAATTACACAAATCTTGTACATCTCCAGAAACTAACACTGACCTAGAACTTAATTGTTCATCTAAATGCTCTGTGAAGTGTTTGAATAGGTGTAATTTATTTACTTAGAAATTACCAACACAGATGCTGTCCCCCATTACACACCTCTTTTGTATTCAACTATGATTTAATGGTTTCTTGTACAAAACTAGTCCAAGCCAATTAAAAAGCAAATAAATAGTCACAGTGGAGGGTAAATTGCCTTTTCTGCCTTCTTGAAGCATGTGTGCACCACTAAGATAAGATGTTGTCAATCTGTTAAAATCTCCGTGAATCCATCCTTCTTCACTGCTAGTAGCAGGAAAGCTTTAACACTTTGAACAACTAGGAAGGGTCATTTGTCTAAGTTGTGGCAAAGCCTAAGGGGCAGAAAGGCCATAGTATTTCCTGCAACACATTAATCTAGACTTTAAAATAATGGAAAATATTCCAAAAGTGTCACTGTTAAACACACTGTTGTTGGCTTAATTCAACTTCCTTTTTCCCTTCATTTATTCAAGATAAAATAATGCTGTACATTTTATTTACAAACATGAAGCAAAGCCAATGTCATTAGGATTGTTCAGTGTAGACAATTCATCTATAGAGTCTCAATGAAACCAGTTGCTAAGCCCCCATCTCAAGTAACTTAATGCTGTCACTTCCTCATCAATTCCTTTGTCCCCCGCTGCCCATTTGCAGTTGTTTAGAATTTTGTTTCTGTTGCCTAGAACAATAATGAGTATTATGATGAAGTTATCAATGACAGAAATTTTTAAGCACATTAATTATGCAGTTCTATTTCAATGTTACCAATGTTCTTTTGATAATATATGTCTATTATTTCTATTTTGAATTGCATTTATTATAGACTAAAGCTGTTGTAATAAAGAATCCGACCAAAATTTTTGATGTTTGATGGCTTACAGCTTCTACATCTCACTCCTCCTTGCTCTCCTACTCCCTCACATCTATAAAAAGTGGATAAGAAAGTCTGTGTGCTTCCTACTTTGGCACAGGTCAGAAGCTCAAACCATGTAAACCCCTTCCCCTCCTGGCCCCACCTCCTAACAATAAGGATCCAAAGACAATCTCCCTTCCCTTGCTTTTAGGCCAATTTAGGAGGCCTGCCTTCCTCTCTTCAGAAAAGCCCCATTATGTGAGTAACAAAACTTTTTGTGCGCTCTTGGGGTATGTGTGGCTTTATCAGTCTCTACATCTGAACCAAACTGTGGGTAGGAATCTAGCCTGCATCTTCTGGTTGTATACAATGGTTTTATAATTTACGTATGCATATGAAGTACCTGGTAAGATTATAAAGCATAGATTCCTAAACCTTCTGCAAGTTTGTGAATTGGACACTCTAGTGAGACACCAACAAGTCAGGGTTTTGTTTCTTTTTGTTGTTTGTTTTTTACAGATTTGTGGCATCAACATTTTACCTTTTATACCCATTTCTTGGATAAACTTATTAACTCTTTCATTTAAAGTCTTGCTTTACCTTGTGCATTATTCTCCCACTCTTCTTTAAGGCTTAAATCTTTGTATCTTCAATGACAATAAGACTTTAGCACACGAATGTGCTCAATGTTACTTCTATCTCAGAACTAATCAAGTAAAACTTGAGAAATATCAGCAACAATAATAAATAGAAATGTCATCATGGTTTCTTATGTCAATGCTAACTCTAAATTTGACAAATTTCTGGTTTCTAGCTTGATTTAGAGATGGATCCTAAATAGGCTGCTTGAATTTTCCATCACGTCTAATTCTTTGTTGCATGTAGTTTTTAAGTGCCAGTTAATAGGCAAGCACCTGCCTGACCACATCAGCAACACCAGAGGCAGAAGGCATTATTAAAACACAGATTTTTGGGCCCACTCCACAGATAAGTTGGTGTAGGGCCCACAAAAACGATTTTTAAAGAAGCACCCCTTCAGGATTCTTATGCAGTCAGCTAAGTATAGGAATACTAGTTAGTAATGAATGTGTTCTGGAGCCTCAAAATATTTTAGAGCAGGAAGCTGCCACTTATTGTGCCAAGTTTTCTCTCCAACTCTTGCAGCCCAGCATGTCAACTGATGAAAAAGTGCTGGCGTTCCAAAAAGCCTGGGGGATGGTGCTCAGAAAGCCCCTGCTAGGAGCTAGATTGGATTATCTCAACTCATACCTCTCAGCTAACAGGTGACACCCTGCTGAAAGCTGTTGACCTGAGGCTCTTTTGGATTGTGGTAAGAGTGTGAATTGTGATCCATCACTCTGGAGAACCCTGATCAGAGGCTATTAGCAATGCACCTGGTCTTGGCAATTGATAGAAAAAGGAACACTGTGCCAGGGGAAGCTTGCGACAATGAAAACTGTTTCAAAATTCTTCTTTATATCAGCAATCCTAACTCTAGAATCATCAAAATATAACTAGGTTTTATTGTGTGTGAAAATGTGATAATTCCAATCAACACAGTTGTACTACTTAAATCCTTCAGTTAGAAGAAAAATACTAAAAAAATACTAAATAAACGAACAGATTTTTATGAATTTTATACTGTAATTTCCCTTACACCTAGTAGGGAAGAATATTTGAATTTCTAGAAATAATGTATGTATTTATCTACATATAAAAATAAAATTAAGACTTTACATAACACCCACCTTTAATCAACGTAACATTTTCTGACATTTATGCATTTTCAGAAAAGAAACAACTAGCCTGCAAAGCAATTGTTAAATTTTAAATGTAGGCCTCCAAAATACAATAAACAAACTACAGAAAACAGAAGCCTATCAACACAGTAAACATTTGCAATGGTTTTAATATAACCATAATTATAAACTGAAGAACAGAAATATATTAATGGAAAAACAATTTACTGTAGCTGTGTTATTGTCCTGAAACAGGAAGCCTATGTATCTAATAATAAGGTGGAATTGCATCATGTGTAAATATATAAAATGAGACTTTTTCAGGCAGGCATTGAACACATGTTTACTCAGACTTTTAATGAGGTGTCTGAGAGAATAGCAGTGGTCCCTTCAGTATCCATTTCTTCATTTTCTTAGGCATATCATCTCCCAAATGAAGAGCCAGGGTGATGGGCTAAGACCTCATATATTAAATATGTACAGAAAAAAATGTGTGTGCAACTTTCCTCTCACTGTTTGTGCAGAACTTTCTCTATTTTATCTTCCTATAAATTGCTTGTACAATACTTTATTTTATCTTCCTATAAGCAAAAACACAGACAGACATCTAGTTTTAATCAATCAAATAATAATAATAACTTACATGATGAAAGATCCCAAAATGGAAGCAATTGTCTTTCTGAATGACTTTTTGGTAAGTAAATCTGGTCTTCCAGTAAGAACTTCCCATGGTCAAACTATTAAGAGATGAATAAATATTTATCTTACCCAAATCATTACATTTTTGGGTCTAATTTTTACAGCAGCTTAACCTTTACCATATCCGATCAAGGTAGAAAAAGAAAAATATTCAAAGTTATATTTACAGAGAAATCTAAAATAAATATTAACAGAAAGGAGAAGTGAGAGATTGAGAAGCAAAACCAAGGATACCCATTGTCACTACACCTATTCAATATAGTATTGAAAATCCTAGCTAGAACAATCAGGCAAGTGAAGTTAATAAAAGGCATCACAATAAGAAAAGAACTTGAACTATCTTTCTTCAATGACAATACGATTTTATACCTAGATAACACTAAAAGACTCTGCCAAAAAGCTCCTAGAACTGATAGACAACTTCAGTAAAGTTTCACAGTACAAAATCAGTGTACAAAAATCAGTAGCATTTCCATACACAAATAAAGTTTAAGCTGAGTCAAATCAAGAATGCAATTCTATTTACATTAGCTAAAAAGAATAAAATAAGCAGGAATACAGCTAACCAAGGAAGAGAAAGAGCTCTTCAAGGAGAACTACAAAATACTCCTGAGAGATTACACAAATAAATGGAGAAACATCCCATGGTCATGGATCAAAAGAATCAATATTACTAAGATGGCTGAACTGCCCAAAGCAATGTACAGATTCAGCATTATTTCTACCATACTAACAACTTGATTTTTCACAGAATCAGAAGAAACTATTCTGAAATTCATATGGAACAATAGAAGAGCCTGAATGGCCCAAGCAATCCTAAGCAAAAAGAACAATGCTGGAAATTTCACATTACCCAACCTCAGACTATGCTACAAGGCTGCAGTAAAAAAAACCAGCATGGAACTGGTACAATAGACACATAGACCAATGGAACAGAATAAAGAGATCAGATTAAGTCATACAGCTACAACCATTTCATCTTTGACAAATTTTACAAAAATAATCAATGAGGAGAAGACTCCATATTCAATAAATGGTGGGTGCTGAGATAACTGGCTATCCATATGCAGAAGAGTGAAGTTGGACCCCCTATCTATCACCATATACAAATATCAATTAAAGATGGATTAAATAAAGACTTAAATGTAAGACCTCAAACTATAAATATCCTAGAAAGAAACCTAGGAAATATCCTTTTCAATATTGGTCTTGGCAAAGTATTTATGGCTAAATCCTTAAACGCAACTGCAACAACAACAAAAATTGACAAGTGAAACCTAATTAAACTAAGGAGGTCCTACACAACAAGAGACATTCTCAATAGAATAAATAGACAACCTACAGAATGGGGAAAATATTTGCAAACTATGCATTTAATGAAGGTCCAGAATCTATAAGAAATTTGAAGAAAACAAAAGGCAAAAATCAAATAACCCCATTAAAAAATGGTCAAAGGACATGAACAGACACTTCTCAAAACAAGACAGACTAGTAGCCAACAAACATAAAAAAAATGCTCATAATCACTAATCATCAGAGAAACGAATATCAAAACCACAATGAGATACCATCTCACACCAGTCGGAATAGCTATAATCAGAAAGTGATAAAATAACAGGTTACCTCTGAGGCTGCAGAGGAAATAAAACACTTATACATAGTTGGTGGTAATGTAAATAAGTCACTGGAGGGGCAGTTTGAAGATTCCTCAAAGAACTAAGAATTGAACTAACATTTGACCCAACAGTCCCAATACTGGATATACACTCAACGGAAAATAAATCATTCTGCCAAAAAGACACATGCACCTGTATGTTCTTTGTAGTGTTATTCACAATATTAAAGCCATGAAATTAACCCAGGGTATATCAACAGTGTACTGGCAAAAGAAAATGTGGTACATATACATCATAGAATCTTATATAGCCATAAAAAGAAAAAAAATCATTTCATTTGCAGCAACATGGATGTAGCTGGAGGCCATTATACTAAGTGAAGTAATGAAGAAACAGAAAACCAAATACCACATGTTCTCACTTACAAGTAGGAGTTAAACATTAAGTATACATAGAGATAAAAATAGGAAAAAATAGACACTGGAGCCTAGTAGAGGAGGGAAAGAGAGGAGGGCAAGGGCTGAAAAACTACCGCTTGAGTACTATGCTCAGTACCTTGCTGACAGATTCATTCAAACTCCAAACCTTAGCATTATGCAATATACTTATGTAATAAATCTGCACATGTACTCTCTGATTCTAAAATAAAAGTTTTAAATAAGTTACGTTCATGAAATAAAATTAGGAATAAATATTAGCTTGCCCTTCCCATACATATTTGAAATATTTAATAACAATGGGAAAATAGTTTTTGAAGTTGTAAGACAATTGACTGCAATTAAGAAAATCACAACAGGGAATACGATGCAGTCATAGAAAAGATCATGTCCTTTGTAGGGACTTGGATGGCACTGGAGGCCATTATCCTTAGCAAAGTAACACAGGAACAGAAAACCAAATACTGCATATTGTCACTTATAAGTGGGAGCTAAATAATGAGAACAGATGGACTTATAGAAGGGATCAACACACAGGGGGCCTATCAGAGGGTAGAGGGTAGGAGGAGTGAGAGGATCAGGAAAATGACTATTTGGTACTAAGCTTAATACCTAGGTGATAAAATAGTCTGTACAACAAACCCCTATGACACAAGCTTACCTGTGGAACAAACGGCACATGTACCCTGGAACTAAAGTTAAAAAAAAAAAAAGAAAAAGTACATCCCCATAAAGACTAAAAAAAAATAATTAATAAGTTGTTTTTAAAAATAGTTTTAAAATATGCTAAAAAAACTGTTTATTGTAAGTGGTAAAAATGCAATTAACTAACTCAATAAGAAAGAAAAAATACATTGACAGAAATAAACTATTTGGGACATAAATGATGAAAGACAAATTTATTTCTTAAGTTTTTATAAATTATATATACATATAAACTTTATAAAAAATATATATTTGGAGTACAACATGTTTTGGCATATACATACCCAGTAAATGATTAATACTGTCAAGCTAATTAACATATTAATCACCTCTCTTAGTTACCTTTGTGTGTGTGTGTGATGAGAAGTTAGTTTTATTGGAGAACAAAGTAGTCATTTCCCTTGAGCTTAGATAAGTCAATAAAACTATAAAGTAAGTAAGGGGGAAAGCCAGAAACAACAGAATATACATTCTTCTTATTGCCACATGGCACATACTCTAAAATTAACCACATAATCAGATATAAAACAATCATCAGCAAATGCAGAAGAACTGAAATCATACCAAAGACAATCTCAGATCACAGCACAATAAAAAATGAAAGTCAAGATTATAAAAAAATCACTCAAAACTGTGCAATTACATGAAAATTAAACAATATGCTCCTGAATGAGTTTTGAGTAAATAATGAAATTAAGGCAGAAATCACGAAGTTCTTTGAAACTAATGAGAACAAAGATACAACACGTCAGAATCTCTGTTACATAGCTACAAGGTAGTGAGGGAAATTTATAGCACTAAGTGCTGACATCAAAATGTTAGATCTCAAAGTAACTACCTAACATCACAACTGAAAGAATTAGAGAAGCAAGAGCAAACCAACCCCAAAGCTAGCAAAATACAAGAAATAACCAAAATCAGAACTGAACTGAAGGAAATGGAGTCATAAAACAACATTCAAAAGATCAACAAATCCAGGAGTTGGTTTTTTGAAAAAATTAATATGATAGGCTGCTGGTAGACTAATAAAGAAGAAAAGAGAAGGTCCAAATAAACACACTTAAAAATGACAAAGGAGTTGTTACCACTGACCCCACAGAAATAAAAATAACTGTCAGAAACTACCATGAACACCTCTATGCACACAAACTGGAAAACTTAGAAGAGAGGGATAAATTCCTGGACACACACACTACCCCAAGACTGAAGTAGGAAGGAGTTGATTCCCTGAACAGACCAATAACAAGCTCTGAAATTGAATCAATAATAAATGCCCTGTCAACCAAAAAAATTCCAGTGCCAGATGGATTTACAGCCAAATTCTACCATATGTATAAGGAAGAGCTGATTCCTACTGAAACTGTTCAAAATATTGAGGAGGAGGGATTCCTTCCTAACTCATTCTATGAGGCCAGCATCATTCTGATACCAAAACCTGGCAGAGGCACAACAACAAAGAACACTTTAGGACAATATCCTTGATGAACATTGATGCAAAACCCCTCAACAAAATACTTGCAAATCAAATCCAGCAGCATATGAAAAAGATAATCCATCATAATCAAGTAGGCTTCATCTCTGGGATGCAAAGTTGGTTCAACATATGTAAATCAATGAATGTGATTAATCATATACACAAAAATAAAAGCAAACCCCATGTGATTATCTCAATAGATGCATAAAAGGCTTTCAATAAAATTCAAAATCTCTTCATGTTAAAAACTCTCAACAAACTAGGTATTGAAGGAACATACCTCAAAATAATGAATAATCTATGACAAACCCACAGCCAGCATCATACTAAATGGACAAAAGCTGTAAGCATTCCCCATGAAAACCAGCACAAGACAAGGATGCCATCTCTTACCGCTTCTATTAACAACATAGTATTGGAAGTCCTAGCTAGGTTAATCAGACAAGAGAAATAAATAAAGCGTATTCAAATAGAAAGAATGAAATTCAAACTATCATTGTTAGCAGTCAACATAATTCTATATCTAGATAACCCCATAGTCTCAGCCCAAAAGTTCCATCAGCTAATAAACAACCTCAGTGAAGATTTAGGATAAAAAAACCAACGTACGAAAATCACTAGCATTCTTACACACCAAGAACAGCCAAGCTGAGAGGCAAATCATGAATGCAATCTCATTCACAATTGCAACAAAAAGAATAAAGGACCTAGGAGTATAGCTAATCAGGGAAGTGAAAGATGTCTATAATGAGAATTGCAAAACACTGCTTAAAGAAATCAGAGATGAAACAAATGGGAAAACATTTCATTCTTATTGGTAGGAAGAATCAATATCATTAAAATGGCCATCCTGCTTCAAGCAATTTACAGATTCAATGCTATTTGTATAAAACTACCAATGACATTCTTCACAGAACTAGAAGAAAAGTAGTTTACAACTCATTTGAAACAACAAAAAAAAGTGCCCACATAACCAAGGCAATCTTAGGCAAAAACAAAAACAAAAAAAGCAAACAACAACAACAAAAAACACCAAACAAGCAAACAACAACAAAAAAACAAAGTTAGAGGTATCATGTTACCCAGTTTCAAACTATACTACAGGGCAACAGTAAATAAAACATTATGGTACTAGTACAGAAACAGATACATAGTCCAATGGAAAAGACTAGGGAGCTCATCAGAAATAAGGCTGAACACCTACAACCACCTGATGTTCTACAAAGCTGACAAGCAGTGTGAAAAGGACTCCCTATTCAATAATTTTGCTGGGATAACTAGCTAGCTATATGCAAAAGATTGAAACTGGACTCCTTCCTTACACCACATACAAAAATCAACACACGATGGATTAAACACTTAAATGTAAAACCTAAAACTAAAAGCCCTGGAAGACAACATAGGCAATAACATTCTGGACACAGAAACAGGCAAACCTTTCAAGATGAAGACCCAAAAGCAATTGCAACAAAAGCAAAAAAGAGACAAATGGGATCTAATTAAACATAAGAGCTTTTGCACAGCAAAAGAAACTATCAACAGGGTAAACAGACAACCTACAGAATGGGAGAAAATATTTGCAAACTGCAACTGACAAAGGTCTAATATCTAGCATCTATAAGGAACTTAAACAAATTTACAAGAAAAAAAAACCCACTAAAATGGTTGGAAAAGTTTGAATACACTTTTCAAAAGAAGGCATACATGCAGCCAACAGGCATATAAAAAAATCTTAATATAACTGACCATTAGAGAAATGCAAATCAAAACCACAATGAGATACCATCATATTACACCAGTTAGGATGGCTATTATGAAAAAGTCAAAAAACAACAGGTGTTGGCAAAAATTGTGGAGAAAAGGAAATACTTATACAATGTTGGTGGAAGTGTAAATTAGTTTAATCATTGTGGAAAGCAGTGTGGTGATTTCTCAAACAGCTAGAAACAGAATTATCATTTGACCCAGCAATTTCAAAGGAACATAAATCATACTACCATAAAGACACATGCATGCAAATATTAATTGCAGCTCTATTCATAATAGCAAGGACATAGAATCAACCTACATGCCTATTAATGACAGATTGGATAAAGAAAATGTGGTAAATATATACCATAAAATACCAGATAGCCTTAAAAAAATAATGAGATCATGTCCTTTGCAGGGACATGGATACAGCTGGAGGCCATCATCCTTAGCAAACTAGCGCAGGAACAGAAAACCAAATACCACATGTTCTCACTTATAAGGGGAAGCCAAATGATGAGAACTCTTGGCCGCAAAGAGGAAGACGGAAACAACAGACACTACAGCCTCCTTGAGGGCGGGGTGTGGGATGGGGAGAGGATCAGAAAAAGTAACTATTGGGTACTAGGCTCAGTACCTGGGTGACAATCTGTAAAACAAACCTCTATGACATGAGTTTACCTATATAACAAACCTGTATGTGTGCCCCTGAATCTAAAATAAAAAGAGAGGGAAAGATCAATTTATCATTAAAACTGAGATACATTTTAGGAATGGCAAATTACATTGTGGGGCCAGAGTACCCCATACATATCATAATATTTTGGGTCAGGGATTATATAAGAATAATGGACAAGATCTTGGGATACTCTTGCAACTGTCCAGACCTAGAAAAAATGGGAAGTTGTTGAGAAAATCTGTGATCATATGAGTGAGTGATAGGAGATTTGTAAGTTTGGAAACTGATATATATATATTTTTTCAGATTAGAGATGATTTAGGTTGGAACTCTTGCAGTGGCTATAGAGGTTGAATGGTGAGTGATGACACACTTCAGTAATTTAGACTCATAATGTCTATTGATGTCTTATTTTGGAAAATTGATTTGATTCCTAGGGAAATAATAGAGAAAATCTATTTCAACTATGGGTGAGATGCTTTAGGTTATTTTGTTTGCAACGGTTGGAAGAGTAAAATAAATCACATCACCTTTTTAATTCTTAGAATATTTAGTCAGTTACATTCCCTATGTTATCCTCAACCAAAAAGTTAACTTTTCCAAAGACAAATTCATTTTATGAAGTTGTGTTACTTTTTATTGAAAAAAAATTAATGTCACTGAAATTTTTTTTCATTCTACCTCTTATTTAATATGCAAAAACTTGTTAGTAATTGAGATAGAAGACCTGTAGTTTAAATGTTGTATTATTCCTGATGGATGATTATGAATATAGGACTTGACTATATTTCAAGTTTATAGTTTATAAAGAATGTAGTTTCAGTGGATTTAAAATAGATATAAATATAGATTAAAAAATTATTTATAGATGGTTTAGCATGAAAGTTTTCTGCTAAACACTTACAAGTCTGTTAAATATCACTTCAGTTAACAGTGAAATAGTGAATCTCATTCATTTTTTTTTAAATCTAAAATCAGATTCCATCTGTCCAATTTGGTATTTTGGCACTAACTGTTATTTGTGATTTCGTTTGATATGGTTCATCTGGAATTTTAGTAGTGACCATTCATTGTGATTTGATTTGATTATACATAGCTCTCTGTGATGCTTACTGGAACGCAGCTTTATAAATGCAAATTGTCCTGTATGTCTCAGTTACTCTAAAATTGGATTTAACTATTTGGAAATTGTGGGCCAAGAGAAGCTTCATGAACTTCTTTTAAAAATTCTGTAAAACATGGTATATAGCAAATCTATTTTTGAATCTTTTACATGTAAATTTAATGGAAACATTAACTTTCATGGCAGAAATAAATATGTATATATGATTCTAAATGATTCATTCATCAATATCAGAATTAAATAATAAAGACAAATAAAAAAATTCCTGTCAATGTGGCCTTCTCCTTGAATTATAAGTCAAATGTATTCCATACAGTACATTGAAGAATTTGTACCTATGTTAACACAAAAGTTTGATCCATAGCATATTCTTCATGAATAAAAGAAGTAAGCCATAGAGGGATATGTGTAAATTGGATACATATAAAAGTATTAGGCAATATAAATTAATAGTAAAATATGATCAAATTTGAATAAACTTTCTTGAAAATAACAAATTTTCAAGCAGGAATAAGTAAGTTATATTTTATAATTTCCAAGGTCATTATAGTACAAATCATATTACGATCACTTTTTTATAGTTAGAATTATTTCTAATAGGACTATCTGAGCTACTTCGAGAAAACTAGCAAGGTCTACCCTGAAAACACTTCAGATATGTGATATTTCAACATGTAATAATATTTATAATACATATGTCAGATCTTAGGTGATAGACTATTTACTAACATAACAATTAAAAACAAATTACAAACTGAATTTCTAACATAAATAATGAAGATTAAATATCCTATGCACTCACACATATATTATCAAAACAGTATGTTACTAGACAAAAAAATATCACAAAATTATAATTTTTCTTCCTTTTTCGAGACAGGATCTCATACTATCAACCAGGCTGGAGTGCAGTGGCATGGTCTCAGCTTACTGCAACCTCTGCCTCTGGTGCTCAGGAGATCCTCCCACCTCAGTCTCTTAAGTGGGACCACATGTGCACACCACCACACCTGGCTAATTTTTGTATTTTTTGTAGAGATGAGGTTTTGTCATGTTGGCCAGCCTGGTGTCAAAGTCCTGGGCTGAAGCAATCTGCCCACCTCGGCCTTCCAAAGTGCTGGGATTACAGGTGTGAGCCACTGCACCCAGCCAATTTATTTCTTTTTTAATTCAAAAACTTTTATATTGAGTACTAAATGTATGCAACACATTGTGCAGATATTCGAGATACACAGATGAACACAATCAAATGTCTTCTGACCTCTAACCTTATAGAAGAGTCCAGATAAGAAAGTAAACATCCAGCAAATAATCACCCCAATGTATAAGTAAATAAAACTGACAAAAATAAAAAAGGATAGCTATATGGTTCCAGGAAACCCCAATAGAGAAATTCACTCTAGTTTCTCTGAGGAAGTAAAGATTTAGTTATGAAACAGCATTATAAAGCAATTAGCAGGATCAGAGAAGAAGCAGTGCGGAAAGACCATTCCAATCAGAAACAGCCAAATGTTAAAAGGCCCTCAGGAGTTTGGCATCGTGAAGAAATGAGACCATTTGAGGTCAGGTTGAGAGGTAAGACTGTACCCAGACTGTGGGCCATGATAAAGACTGACCACTTGATATTAAGGCAATAGAAAAGCACTGGAGACTTTTAAGCCAGAGATGGAATGGAGAATCAGGGAGAAGATCAGATTTGTAGACTGGAAAATTTTGACTTCAGTATACAAAAAGAAGTATCTGAGGAAAAGAGAGGTCTGGGGAAAGCAGGAAGCCACTAAATTAGCTCATGTGAGTGATAATGGCTGCTGGATATAAGGAGATGGAAAGAAAGGCAGAGAAGTAGGTAGAATCAATAAATATTTAAGAGGTTAAAATATATAGGATTAGTACTGGAATGGGTGGCATTTGTGTATTGAAAGAGAGGAAGGAATACAAGAGATATTTAAGAGGAACAAGTTTACAAAACTAAACCATATGTTTGGTTATAAATATGTTGAATCTCAATTATATTTATGATATTTACTTGGAAAACATAAGTAAACATTTACATACTAAGGTATGGGCTTCAGTGAGATAAAATTTTGTGTTTATTACATATTGGTGATAATATCACACCTTGGGCAGAAAAGAGACTGCTAGAGATTATAATGCCTAAATAAAAAAAGAACAAAAAATTAAGAAATCTTTAAATGTAATGTTTTGTACAAAAAGATGAACCACTGAAAAAGACTGAGAAGGACGTTTTTAAAATATCACCTGAGGCCAAGGACAGTACCGATATCAATGAAAGATTTCAATGAAAGAGACTTTTTCAATGAGAGGATTTGAGTCCTATTGAGGAAAAAATTAATTACTTAAATTAGGGAAAATAGTTAATATCATTAGTAATCACAGAAATGCAAATTGAACTATTAAGATATAACTGCAAATTAGCAACAGTTAAATGATAATATAGAATGTAACTATAAAATGAGTATCACAATCTTCACATGTCTGCTTCTTACTTTTTTTGGAAGCCCAGTATTACTTTAAAATGTATCATGTAATCTACTACCAGCGATATTTGGAACACAGTAGTAAAAATAAGAATTATTAAAATATATTAAGAGTGTATATTTGGTTCCACGCTGAAATGGAAAAATGCATTTATTCCTATTATTTCTGCTAATAATGGCTAACAATCCTGGACATTATTTGTAAAACAAACAGAAAACTGAAAGTTGGAGGGAAGAAGCAAGACTAGCTAGTAATCCTAGGATCCGAGAAATAACATATTGGTGAGCACACTGGGTTTTCTTTATACTTTATATATCCCAGATCATAAGTGCTTAGAAAAATACCTTGAACTACCAACAAGAGTTCAGATAAAAATAGCACCCCCAAATGCCTGCTTTAACCAAACAAAAGCAATGTTGCAAGACAGAAAACGTTAAAATAACTGACCTGCTCTAGCCAAACATCATGAAAAATTACATTCATGAGGCCAACAAGCATATGAAAAATATTCAACATCACTAATCGTTAGAGAAGTGCAAATCAAAACCACAATGAGATACCATTTCACACCAGTCAGAATAGCTATTGGAAAGTCCAAAGATAACAGACTCTGCCGAAGTTGTGGAGAAAAGTGAATGCTTATGCACTGCTAGTGGGAATGTAAACTAGTTCAGCCATTGTGGAAAGCATTCTGGAGATTTCTCAAAGAACTTAAAACAGAATTACCATTTAACCCAGAAATCCCATCACTGATATACCCAAATGAAATATAAATTATTTTACCATAAAGACTCATGCACACATATGTTCATCGCAGCACTATTCACAATAGTAAAGGCAAGGAATCAACCTAGATGCCCATCAATGGTAGACTAGATAAAGAAAATGTGGTACACATACACCATGGAATACTATGCAGCCATAAAAAAAGAATGAGATCACATCCTTTGAAACAACATGGATGGAACTGAAGGCCGTTATCCTAAGCAAACTAATACAGGAACAGAAAACCAAATACCATCTGTTATTGCTTGTAAGTGGAATCTAAACAGTGAGTACCTATAGACACAAAGAAGGGAACAACAGACACCAGGAGCCTATTTGAGGGTGAAGGGAAGGAAGAGGGTAACAATCAAAAACCTACTCATGGGGTAGTATGCTTATTACCTGGGTGAAAAAATAATCTGTATACCAAACCTCCACAGCATGCAATTCATTTCTATAACAGACCTGCCCACGTAGCCCTGAACCTAAAATAAACATTTAAACAAATACAGACCCGCTCCCACCCTCATCTTCAAATGTTGAGTGGGAAACTAGACTTCTACCCATGCCCATTGGAAATGATGCACTCCTCCCGTTCTTAGCCAGAGAGGTGTCAGCAGAGGCCCAGTGAAAAGCCCAATATCCCACTTTCACTGCTAGTAGGAATGTAAACTAGTTTGGCCATTGTGGAAAGCATTCTGGAGGTTTCTCAAATAACTTAAAACAGAAGTGACGAGGTATGTCAAAAGATGCCATTTGGGGAATCTGGACCTTGACCCCTACCTGGAGCTACTGACTCAGGACTCACTTCCCCCACCAGCAGTGTCAGAGGATGCCAGCTAAAAAGATGATTTTTTAAAATATCCAGAATCTCATAATACTATATCTAAAATGTCCAGGATAGAAAACTTATGTTTTCCAAGTAAATATCACCACGAAGGCAATTAATAAATGACAATACCAAAATGTGACAGATTTTGTAATGATCTGAAAAGAATTTTCAAGCTGTCATTATAAAAATCCTTCAACGAGCAATTATAAAGGTGTTTGAAAAAATAAAAAATTAGAAAGTCTCAGCAAAGAAATATAAGATATTAAGAAGAATGAAATGCAATTTTAGAAATAAAAACATAAGTAAAATGTATTTTTCTATTTTCAAGTTCACAGGAGAATGGAAAAGGCAGAGGAAAGAATTGGTGAACTTGAAAATACAAAAATAAAATTTGTTAAAATGAATAATAGAAAATAAACTGAAAAAAAAATCATGAACTGAACTTCAGGGACCTGTGGGACTATAACAACAGTTTATAAGATGTAACTTTGTGTCATCAGAGTCCCAGAGGAAAGGAGAAACTTGAGGGGGAAGTTTAAAAAGTATTTAAAGAAATAATGGCAGAAAATGTAATTAAACTAAAGAGCTTCTGCACAGCAAAAGAAACTACCATCAGAGTGAACAGGCAACCTACAAAATGGGAGAAAATTTTCGCAACCTACTCATCTGACAAAGGGCTAATATCCAGAATCTACAATGAACTCAAACAAATTGACAAGAAGAAAACAAACAACCCCATCAAAAAGTGGGCAAAGGATATGAACAGACACATCTCAAAAGAAGACATTTATGCAGCCAAAAGACACGTGAAAAAACGCTCATCATCACTGGCCATCAGAGAAATGCAAATCAAAACCACAATGAGATACCATCTCACACCAGTTAGAATGGCAATCATTAAAAAGTCAGGAAACAACAGGTGCTGGAGAGGATGTGGAGAAATAGGAACACTTTTACACTGTTGGTGGGACTGTAAACTAGTTCAACCATTGTGGAAGTCAGTGTGGCGATTCCTCAGGGATCTAGAACTAGAAATACCATTTGACCCAGCCATCCCATTACTGGGTATAGACCCAAAGGACTATAAATCATGCTGCTATAAAGACACATGCACACGTATGTTTATTGCGGCACTATTCACGATAGCAAAGACTTGGAACCAACCCAAATGTCCAACAATGATAGACTGGATTAAGAAAATGTGGCACATATACACCATGGAATACTATGCAGCCACAAAAAATGATGAGTTCATGTCATTTGTAGGGACATGGATGAAGCTGGAAATCATCATTCTCAGTAAACTATCACAAGGACAAAAAACCAAACACCGCATGTTCTCACTCATAGGTGGGAATTGAACAACGAGAACACATGGACACAGGAAGGGGAACATCACATTCTGGGGACTGTTGTGGGGTGGCGGGAGCGGGGAGGGATAGCATTAGGAGATATACCTAATGCTAAATGACGAGTTAATGGGTGCAGCACACCAGCGTGGCACATGTATACATATGTAACTAACCTGCACATTGTGCACATGTACCCAAAAACTTAAAGTATAATAATAAAAAAAAAACAAAATTTCTAAATCTGGCAAAAGATATTAACAACTACAGATTCATGAATCTGAGTGTACCCTAAGTGGATAATTCTAAATAAATCCAAACACACATCTATTCAAACTGAAGTCAGTGAGTCAGTCTGTCTGTCTGTCTGTCTGTCTATCTATCTATCTATCTATCTATCTATCTATCTATCTAGAAAGGAATGAATACAAACATGTTAACTATATGAGTAAAACAATTTAATTGACAGCATATTTCTCATCAGAAGTTCGGGGGCAAGAGTGAAGTGGCACAAAATTTTCAAGGGTTGAAACATTTTCTTTACCCCAAATTCTATGGTCAGCAATCCTATCTTTCAGAAATGAAGACATTTGTAGGTGAAGAAAAACACTGAGAATTTGTTATAAGCAGATCTACTCTAAAAAAATTTTTGAGGAAGTTTGGTAAACAGAAAGAAATGATAAAAGAATGAACCTTGGAACCCCAAGAAGAAAGACAGTACAATATGCAGAGCAAACATGTGTAACTCCAGTACACTATCATTAACTACAGTCCTCATGTTGTACATGATTAGATCTTTCAACTTGTTCATTGTACATATTTGCTACTACCATCTAAGATGATGGGTAAGTTAATTTGTTCACTATAGTAATTATTTTATAGTATATACGTATTTTATAATGTATCGTACCCCTCAAATATACACAAGAACAGTTTTCAAAACAATCTAATATATTTTATTTCTCTTTAGTTTGAAGCAAAAGCTTAAAATTATCTAATGGGAATCCCAGTGTACAAAAAGGAAATGGTTAAGACAATTACATTATAATCAGGGGAAATCAAGAGACTTAAAAAGAAGTTACAGTTTCAACACTTCACTCAAACTGGTAAAATACATCAGTAGATCTTTGTTGTGATGAAGTAGTTCTGTACTTGACTCAGGTGGTGGTTACAGGAAACATGATAAATGGAATAGAAATACAAAACACACACACACACACACACACACACACACACACACACACAGAGTTCCAATACTAATTTCTTGATTTCATAATAGTACTATAGCAGATGTAACTACTGGGAAAAGCTGGTTAAGGGCCACATAGAATCACTCTGTAATATCTTTGCAACTTCCTGTTACTCTATAGTTATTCCAAATTTAAAAAAAAAAAACTAATAAAGGACATTAGTTATAGGGAGCTCAGACATAGCTGAAGGTCCTACAAAGTGGAGGCCAAGGAGACATACTGAATATTTCAGAATGTTGCCAAGCTTTATGGTATTTTTCCTGACTTCTCATCTAAAACTATGGAGGCTAGAAGATAGTGGAGTATTTTAAGTGTCAAAACACTTTAAAAATGAAGCATATTGATTCTGAGTTCTGAAACTGCCCAAAATATCTTTTATGAATGAAGCAAATTAAGACATTTTCAGATAAAAGAAACTAGCAGAATCAATGTAACTACTTTTGAAATATATGTGACACCTTCTTCCAACATTTAACATACACCTGTCCAGAAATTCCATTTCTACATATTTATCCAGGAGGGGAAAAATGTATGTTTATGAAAAAGACTCATATATAAATGCTCATGATAAACTTGCTAATAACAGACCAAAACAGTACTAGTGTCCACACACCCGAGAATGAATCATATGCTGATATACTCATGCAATGGAATACTATGTGGGAGTAAAACTTTATGACTTATTAGGACATAAAACAACATGGATATTCCTTAAAAGCATTATACAGACTGAAAGATTTTTTTTTTTGTACCACAGGATATAGTATATTACTGAATTTATGTAAAATTCTATACCAAACAAATCTAATTTGTGGTGGAAAAGAGCTTCAAAACAGTGGTCATCAATGGGATATAAAGGGCATTAAAATGTAAAGAGGCCAGAAAAAACCTCCTGTGATATCTGTAAGTATATAGATTTATTATAACCAATAATATTCAAGTTGAAAAAATAAAATTATTCGATTTAGATAACAAAAATATTATTTTGGGAAATTAAAACACACTGTTGGGATTTGTATATAAAACATTTAGCACAATGGAATTAAAACAAGATAAAATGATGAAAATGACAAATTGAGATGTAATTTAAGGATTCTATCATTTTCTCAATTTACGGTTTTGTTATCCTCCAAGACATAGCTTCTCTTCACATTGTCTCACTTGTCATCTCCATTAGATATATTTCCTCTGTGCTGCAACTGCATCCTATGGATTCATCTACCACAGTATTTCCTTTTTGCATATGTCTCTGTTACTCCTCTAGACCAGAGAACGTGGCTCATTTATCTTTATTCTTATTGCTATCATCTGGCACAGAATCTGCCTACAGCAAGTAGTCATTAAAGGATCAGCAAAGCAATTCACAACTACCAACAATTAAGTAGAAAATTCTTTTCTTCCTTTTTTTTCCTATTATTGTACAACAGTGAGTTCCTCAGTATTGGGTTAAATGAAGTTCACAAATGAAAATGTCCATATTGCCCAGTTAATACAAATTATTGAAATGGGTTGACACAAATAACTTCTGAATAAGTAGGAAGTTGTGTCTTATCTAAGGAAAATCACACTCCTCTCAATGCCTGCTAAACTTTTGTCATGGAGGAATATAACCTGAGCACTTCAGAGCTTCAGATTTTCAAGAGAAGAGACATATTTCAGCTTTTTTATAATATCAGCTCAAACTTCACATCTTGGCTAAATATCTGTGTCACATATATTACAATTCTATTCTAGATTCTGATCTGAGATACACCACTTTGTGATCTATGCTACGTAATTTCTTAGTCTCAAGTAAAGAGTACGGAAAAAGAAACTATGTTAGAAGGTATTCTTATTGTGAATTCAGTAAGCTCACCTGAGCAATATTTCTTTAGACTTTTTATTCAACTTAGAAACTTGAAGGATATGGTTATATTACCTTTGAATGGAAAAATTTAAAGAGAGAAAACGAATTTGGTTAAACCAGTGATCAGTTGTAAATATCTAACATCTGGGTTCTTGATCCAAATAATTTCACAGCATTCGCAGGAAATATTTGTGCTTAAAAACTTAATACAAATTGCAAAGCAAACTTTTACAAAAAACTCTTACTTTTTTCTCTGTCTCCATGATCATAATTCATTGATTTAAAATTGAACAGTATATGTTCCATATTAGAATAAATTTTTTTAAAAAGGGATTAATTCACTGTGTCTACTCATAATCACAGAAGAACAGAGTTATTTTACCCATTAGTTTACTTACTTTTTTTTTTTTTGAGATGGAGTCTCTGTCACCCAGGCTGGATGGAGTGCAGTGGTGCCATTTTAGCTCACTGCAACCTCCGCCTCCCAGGTTCAAGCGATTCTCCTGCCTCAGCCTCCCAAGTAAAGTAGTTGGGATTATAGGCATGCCCCATCTCATTTGGCTTGTTTTTTGTATTTTTAGTAGAGACGGGGTTTCACCATGTTGGCCAGGCTAGTCTCAAACTCCTGACCTCATGTGATCCACCCATCTTGGCCTCCCAAAGTGCTGAGATTACAGGCATGAGCCACAGAGCCCATTTACTCACCTTTTGAAACACACACACACCATTCTTCACCTTAATAACTACCTCCTTTTATTTTTTATTACACAGAAAACAAAAATAATATCCCATTGGAAAATTGTTCACAGATTTTATTCACTTAATATCTAGTCCACTACTACTAATTTATTTGATATTAATATTTAAAAAACACAAAATCGAAGAATATTATGAATTTTTTCAACATATATTGTTACTATTTTTTCTTTATGCCACTGTTTTATGATAATAATTATATATAGGTATTTTCCCTCACATTTTATGTAAAGTTACTAGTGGAGTTATACATTAAAACTTTACAGATAGTTAAGTTTATTGAAGCCCTGTATCTTTAGGTATTTGTGTCTAAAAGACATATAGATGGTTACAATGAAAGATGCATTATTGTATTTTAGTCCAGGTCTGTCAGACTATGTAAGAGGAAAAAAAAAAAGGATGTGGAGGAAAGAAATGCCTAATTAATATAAGTGACAATTCAGGGATTGGATGATGCTTAAAGAGAGATTTCATAATCAATACATAATGGCAATGTCATCAAACAGCTAGAAATTAAAATCTGACAAATTTGACAACTCCCAGGAATCTTTGCACCACTGGTATTTATTCAGTAATACACAGTTTGATCCTAAGATATTCATCATTGCTTCCTCGTTCTTGCCAAAATTTTCAAATTTATATAATAGGAGTTTTTCTCTGCAGGAAAAAAGACCTCTGATTTTATAATGCATTTCAGAAGAATATTAGTGATTTATAATCAACAGAATTGGAATATATCCATTCCATATAGGAATATATTACTGAACTCTAATATGACTAGGTTTAAAAAACGTTTTTACATTTTGGATACTCTATTCCATTAAGTATAATTTAATTTATATTTACTCTTTATATATGTTTATATCCTAGAATTATACTTTAAATTCAACTTTTCTATGAATTCAGAATTTATTTCAGGTATCAATAGGAGGAAAGTTTTGACTACTTTTTTGGTCAGTTTCCTTATTTTTAAGAGTATATTTAAAGTAAATATAGCACTATTTTGTTGAGTTAAGCATATAACATAAAGTAACACTTGAAAAAAATACTTTCTGATATTTATTTAAAAGATAATGATCTCTAAGCAACGTTTAGCTTATTTGTAAGAAAACATTTTTCCCCCAAGGCCAAAGTTCAAAATCACCTCATTAGGAAAGAAAATAACTGACATAAACAATCGCAAAAACAAAAATAATAATGATCCATTGAATACTAATTCTCTTACACTTAGAAAGAATTCCTAATAGTTCTTAGGGCATTTCAAAAGGAAAAATGAGAAAGAAGTGAGAACAGGATGTGAATAAATCATGGAAATATTCTCATCATGGTTTCCTGTTCTTCCTCAAAATTAAAAGAAATCAATATTAATTTTTCTATGCACCAGGGATGATGGTAAATTCTTTAAACACATTTTCTTCAAGTAATCCTTGCTTTCTTCAAGTGATGGTTGCTACGTAATTACAATTGAAATCTCTTTAATTATTATCCTAGTGTTTTCTTTTTGCATGTATTTGGTTATTTTGTTAGAAAACTATTGGTTTCTTTTACAAAAACAAATTTGCTTCAGGCAGACCTGTCAAATTTTACATTTTCTTCCTTTTTTCTTATTCAGACAATCAAGAGATTTGTCTCAAGGGTAAGTCTAAAGGAAACAGGTTCTGAAAATACTTATTCTTTTTACCATTTGAAGAGTTCCATTTATCAGTTTAATTTTTATTAATTCCCTAATATGAATGATTCAAAAACGTTGTCAAAGTAAGTATATGGGTGTCTTTTTTCTGTGATCTACAATGGTGACATCATTTAATGCTACATTATTTCATGTGACTCATTGTCATTGTGTCCTGTAAGCTTTGGAATAGTGCATTCTACTTTTTGTTGCTTTGTATATATTTGTACTTTTTGTATGGATTTCTTCTTTGCTCTAAAAATTACCTAACAGTATGTTTTTTGGTTTTTAAACTGCATTTATATTTTTGGTAAAAATTGATTATTAATTTCTACTTTTATTAGATATGACTAAAGATGGTGACATGAGCATATCTAATTATTTTAATCTATAAATAATTTACTCTGTAGCCAAGCACATGACAAATATTTGTAAATACTCTCCAAACACCAAATATATGTTCTCCATTTGAGGGATACATGATTAAATATGCACACACATGTCATCTCTGTATAAATATTAACATAAATAAAATAAATAATGGAACATATTTTTTATATTTATCATTTCACCAGAATATTTAGTTTATAAGAGGGATATTAGAATTTTCGATGAAAATGTTGCTTATCAAGTTAGCTTTGCATTGCTAAAACTTCAGTATTTCTTCCAGGCAGTTATTTGCAAGATACAAGTTCACTATTATTATATATTTCCCTTACATTTTTCTTATGATTACATAATGTCTCATGTCATATATTTAGGCCCTTTAATTCTAAATCTAATCATATCTTGATATTAATGTTGTCACTCCTTCTTGGCCCATTATTTTAAACTTTTCTTATACTTTAATAAATTTGTCCCTTCTAAATAGAACATAGATAGGTTTTGCTTCTAAACAAAATACATGATTACCTGTTATATTAGTCTGTTCTCATGCTGCTCTGAAGAAATACCCAAGACTGGGTAATTTATAAAGAAAAATAGTTTAATTGACCCACAGTTCCGCATGACTGGGGATGCCTCAGGAATCTTACAAGCATGGTGGAAGGGGAAACAAAAACGGCCTTCCTTACAAGGTGGCAGGACAGAGAAGTGTTAGAAGGGGAAATGGTATATGCTTGGAAAACTATCAGATCTCCTGAGAACTCACTCACTATCATGAGGACATCATGGGGAAAACTACCCCTATGAGCCAATCACTTCCCACCAGGTTCCTCCCATGACACATGGGGATTACGGGAACCACAATTCAAGATGAGATTCGGGTGAGCGCATAGGCAAACCATGTCATTCCACCCCCAGCCCATCCCAAATCTCATGTTCTCACATTTCAAAACAAAAACATGCATTCTCAACAGTCCTCAAAGGCTTAACTGATTCCAGCATGAACTCTAAAGTCCAAGTCCAAAGTCTCATCTGAGACAAGGCAAGACCCTTCTGCCTATGAGCCTGTAAAATCAAATGCAAGTTAGTTAATTCCTTGGTACAATGGGGGTACAGGCATTGTGTAAACACACCTATTCCAAATGGGAGAAACTAGCCAAAACAAAGGGGCTACAGGCCCCATGCAATTCTGAAATCCAATAGAACAGACATTAAACCTTAAAGTTCCAAAATGATCTCCTTTGACTCCATGTCTCACATCCAGGGCATACTGATGCAAGAGATAGGTTCCCATGGCCTTGGGCAGCTCTACTTCTGTGGCTTTTCAGGGTACCGTGCCCCTCCTGGCTGCTTTCATGAGTTGGCATTTAGTGTCTGCAGTTTTTCTGGGTACATGGTGTAAGCCTTTAGTGTATCTACTGTTCTGGGGGCTGGAGGACAGCGGACCTCTTCTGACAGCTCCAGTAGGCAGTGCTCTAGTATGCACTCTGGGTGGGGACTCTGAACCCACATTTCCCTTCTGCACTGTTCTAGCAGAGGTTCTCCATGAGGTCTCCACCCCTGCAGCAAACTTCAGCCTGGACATCCAGGCATTTCCATACACCCTCTGAAACCTAGGCAGAGTTTCCCAAACCTCGCTTGACTTCTGTGTACCCACAGACTCAAAGCCACATGGAAGCCACCAAAGCTTGGGGCTTTCACCCTCTGAAGTAATGGCCCAAGCTGTACCTTGGCCCCTTTTAGCCATGGTTGGAGATGAAGCTGCTGGGATGCAAGGAACCATGTCCTGAGGCTGCACGGAGTGGGGAGCCCTGGGCCCAGCCCAGGAAACATTTTTCCCACTTAGGCCTCCAGGCATGTAATGGGAAGGGCTGCTGTAAAGGTCTCTTACGTGCCCTGGAGACATTTTCCCCATTATCCTGGTGATTAACATTCTGTTCTGTTTTACATATGCAAATTTCTGTAGTAGGCTTGAATTTCTCCTCAGAAAATGGGTTTTTCTTTTCAATTGCATCATCAGGCTGCAAATTTTCTAAATTTTTATGCTCTGCTTCCTCTTGAGCACTTTGCCACTTAGAAATTTCTTCCACCAGATATCCTAAATCATGTCTTCCCAAGTTCAAAGTTCCACAGATCTCTAGGGCAGGGGCAAAATGTCACCAAAATGATTTGCTAAGGCATAGCAAGAGTTACCTTTGCTCCAGCTCCTAAGAACTCATCTCCATCTGAGACCACCTCAGACTGGACTTCATTGTCCAAATCACTATTAGCATTTTGGTCAAAACCATTCAACATGTCTCTAGGAAGTTCCAAACTTTTCCACAAGTTTCTGTCTTCTTCTGAGCCCTCCAAACTGTTCCAAACTCTACCTGTTACAAAGCTGCTTCCTAAGAACTCAACTCCATCTGAGACCACCTCTGGCTGGACTTCATTGTCCAAATCACTACTAGCATTTTGGTCAAAACCATTCAACATGTCTCTAGGAAGTTCCAAACTTTTCCACATGTTTCTGTCTTCTTCTGAGCCCTCCAAACTATTCCAAACTCTACCTGTTACAAAGCTGCTTCCACATTTTTGGGTATTTCTATAGCATTGCCCCATTACCTCAGTACCTATTTATTGCACTAGTTTGTTCTCACACTGCTATGAAGAAATACCTGAAAGACTGGGTAATTTATAAAGAAAAGAGGTTTAATTGACTCACAGTTACACATGGCTGGGGAGGCTCAGGAAACTTACAATCATGGAAGAAGCAAAAGCAAAATGTCCTTCTTCCCAAAGCAGCAGGAGAGAGAAGTGCCAGCAGGGGAAATGCCAGATGTTTACAAAACCATCAGATCTCAGGAGAACTCACTATCATGAGAACAGCATGGGGGAACCGCCACCATGATCCAATCACTTCACACTGGGTCCTTCCCATGACACATGGGGATTATGGGAACTACAATTCAAGATAAGATTTGGGTGGGAGCACAGCCAAGCCATATCACCTGTCATTATGGGGGGAAATAGTGTGAACACTTTTATCTGGTATTATTTCTTTTTATATTATTTTATATTTACTCTTTGTTTTACTTTTTTTCCCCTTTTTTCTTTTTCTTATTTCAGGAAGATTTATCAAGGTGTAGATTTTCTGGTTAATTTAGGAGTTTTAATACTCTTTTCAATTTTATATAAAAGCACATATTTCTGATCCTTTATATGAAGATGACTTATTTTCTACCAAGATATCTATGCCCAATTACATCCACACTAATAAGATGGATATTTTAAAATAAATCACTCCCCTACATGTAGGTTATGTGGTTTTGTTATATTAACCCCAGAATACCAGTATATTTATTTTCTATTATGTCTTTCCTTATTCAAGATTTCTTTTCCTTCACTTACATTACTCATTTTCAAATAGTCTGTCATTACAGGAGAATCTATTTCTCATCATGTTTCCTTTGTTCTTCATCTGCCATATATTGATTTGTAGACTTTTTCTTATTTTTTATCATTTTTAATATCACTCTCTAGAGCATTTTGTTCTAATAGGTTAGTAACTAATAGGTTACTAGTGGATTATTTTTCCTCATATTCTTTACATAAATTTTAAAAAATTTTGATTTTTATCTCCCAAATTTATTGTTTAATAATGTTTAATACTTATTGATTATTACCAATTCTATCTATTTGCTCCCTTGGGTATTTTGGTGTTCCTCTTTGTTTAGCTAAATGCTAAATTAATTTATTTTCACTTTTTCTTATTTAATAAATCATATGATCAGGGCTCTGAACTTTTTCCTAAGTGAAACTTTGGCAGTATTCACATCTAATCTTCAAAATGTTTCTTGAGTTTACAATATTTGATAGAATCTGTTGCTGATTCATTATGGAAAAACATAGAATATTATGTATTTTTTAGTATGACATTTTTGACAATGATTACATAAAATAAGTTTATGACCTATTTACTCAATTTGATACTAAAAAAAATATGGAAAACATTTGTAGAACATCAAAATCACATGCAGACATTCTGAAAAATGCTCCAAGCATCAGAAAAAGTAATGACTGTGTAATTGTATCGAAAACTCTGAGGCAGAGATTAACATGCAGGAGGTTATTAGAGAGGGCTTTTAGGGTCTTCATCTGTAGAAGATAGGGAAGGAGAGATAATTGGGCAGAGGGACAATTTCAGTTCTGGTATAATCCGAAGAAAGTTTTTAACTCAACCTGTAGGAAGCTTTGAAGCTAGAATGGCTATTTAAGATTGTCAAGATTTGGGGAACTAAGTGACTCATTGGATTCAGGCTGCCTCAGAAAATAAATGTGATACTGCTCTGACTAGGTGATTCTTGAAGAAAATTGCATGCAGAAAGCTGTCTAACAGCATTCCTTCTAGTAACTAGAAGAATAAGTATAAGCCCTCAGTCCATCACAAATAGTAATAGTTTGATTAGATAGTAATGTTCTATAGCATGTTTCATTCTAACGTGCTATTTTGTTTTAAATATACAAACACATATATATGCATTTAATTGTACTTTGTTTACATTTTCAGAGATTAGCTATGTATTTTCAGTCAACATATAATACATTATATTTTTCTTATTTAAAATATTTGGACATAGTCTCTTAATAATTAGATTATAGGAAGTCTAATTTTTCAGGAAAATATTTCCAGTGTTAAATTTGTTATTTAACTTATATTACTGGTTCAGATATTTAGAATTTTCCTCCCACTATTTTATTGATATTCTATAATTTTGTTTTGATTTAATTTTTAACCTAAATGACATTTGTAAAATATGTTTTTATTAAAGAGATCAATGTTAGTGAAAATTACTTAATAATTAAATTATATAAGATACTTGTATTACTAATAGCAAATTACTTGCAAAAGGCCACGAACCAGCATAATATTTCCTAATGTTGTTCTTCATAGTTGCACCCATTGCCTCATGTCACCATCATTGTCATAGATCTCTCCAAGGTCTAGGACAAAGAAAATGATTGTGTTGCTAAGAAATAAAATTGGGTTTGCATTCTGTTAGATAATTATGCTGGCCTATGTTCTTCTAGGCAGGAACTGTTTCATTTCTCTCCATACTTTACACACCTAGTGTTATGAGAGGAATTTTGTCCACCACCCTAAAGATCCCAGTGTTGAAGCTCTAACCCCTAGTACCTCAAAATGTGACTTTATTTGGAAATAGGACTTTAAAGAGGTGATTACATTAAAGTGAGACCACAACAGTTGGCCCTAATCCAATTGGTCTTTATAAGAAGAGGAACTTTCTACAAATACAGACCAGGGCACATGCACAGAAGGGCAATCAGGTAAAGAGCCAGAAAGAGGGTGACCATCTGCAATCCAAGCAGAGACTTAAGAAAAAAATAAACCTGCCATCTTTGATCTCAGACTGCCAGCCTCCAGAACTGTGAAAAATAAATCTTTGCTATTTAAGCCATTAGTTTGTGGTATTTTGTTATAGCAACCCTAGCAAACTAAGGCAGCTAGTATAGTAAAGAGCATACTTAGGTCATTTTGAGTACTTTACTTCCACTTTAATAGTTCAGCCATGAAATAAAATATATAAATATATGAATCATAGATAAAACAATGTAAAATAAAAAATGATAATTTTAATATTATTCATTAAAATATAAATAAATATTTTCATGGCTTTAGATTTTATGTAACATACACCCTGATGCTGCTCTAGCAATTAATTAACAATATGACTTCATATTGTTAATTAATTTCATGCCAATAATACACAAGAGCACAGACGGCGACACTTGTATTAGACCAAAAAAAAAAAAAAGTCAAAAACTGCAACTTGCCTCCCGTGTTCATGTCCTTGTGTAATCTCTACCTTGAATATTGACAGGACCTGTTACTGGCTTTTAACTAATGAGAATATGCTACATAAGATTGTAACATCCATCTCGCGAGATTAAGCTCTTCTCTGCTGGCATTGAAAATGCAAGCTACCATATTATAAGCCACCATATGGGAAGGCCATGCAGCAGGAGCTGAGGGTGGCCATGTTCAGTTGACAGCATTCAGGAGCTTTCACCTCAAAGGATCTCACAGTTCCAGTCAATATTTTTATGCAAGGAAGAGCCTAAGCAAAGGACTCAATTGATCTGTACCGGACTTCTTACCCACAGAAATTCAGAGATCATAAATGTGTGTGTGTGTGTGTGTGTGTGTGTGTGTGTGTGTGTGTGTGTGTGTGTTAACCACTAAATGCGTGGTAATATTTTTGTGCAGCAATAGATAAATATTATGCCTATCTTCAAACATTATATGACATGTTTTGCTAAATATTTTAGCTGGGTACTTATTTTTCACCATATCTACACGAAGGCTAATTTTCTTCTCTATTCTAGAGAAAATTTTCTTATAAACGTTATGCTCAGTGCTGCCATGTTCTTTATCAATAGTATCATTATGATTTCTAATCAGCCTTCTGTATTCTCTTGTTAACTGCATACTGACAAGTGACAAGGGTGATCATCAGTGATATTTTGGTATAAAATCTAATAAACAGATTGAAAAGCATCTCTCTGGATTTCTTTAAGCAGAATATAGTCATGTAAAAATTCTTTAGACTGTTAATGTAATCACATCTTTAGGCATGATTTGTTGCACTCTCTGGCTTTAAAATATCATTGTTAAGTAGATAAGACTATTATGGCCTTCTCTTCACAAGTGACATTTATATTATTAATAGATACATTATTATCATCTGATATCATTCAAAGTGCCTCCATTTATTTTGCAATTAGCTAATAATTGTCTAACGATAGTTCTATTAATACTAACTACATGTTATGCCACTCAGCTGGTGTCCATCATAGATTGCCTTTGGATTCACCTATTCATTTGTAGGTCTTAAATCCTTCACAATATTTTAAGCTCTCGGAAAAGAGGGCTCAAGTCTTTTGAACCTCACAGTGCCAACTCCTACCACATATAAGTAGATATTTTACTTACATGATCATGTGATTCGATAATTCATTACCTTCAAGAATCTTGAAGCATTTAAGGAAATAGAAAATTCACGTAGGTACAGGTGAAAGGAAGAATAAACTGCCTTAAAATGGACAAAAGTAGAAAAAATTTCAAAAGAAAGGAGCAAAGAAAAGGTGGAAGGAAGAAAAGAAAGGAGTGAGAAATGAAAAAAGGATGATATACTGAAAAATAGAAAATGTAAGACAATGTATTTTAATAGTTTTATACAATGAAATGCTTGGTGTATTAAAATTAATGCTAAAGTAGATTAACTGTGAAGAAACTGCTTTACTGGATAATTACTATGACAGATCCGATATAAAGTAATTTTATAATTATATGTTTAATAATTTTAAAGATCACACTCTGTTATTTGATAATTATTAATATATCTCTTCTAAACTGTAATGGTTATATGAGCAAAGAGGAAGTGAGAAGAGCAGGAGAACTTTTAATACTTAGGATAATCTTTGAGTAGTCCCTTCACTAAGTACATTTAATTACCTCCATTAAGCATACCTACTGCTTGATTACTAGAGCAGATTATTTTTTCCAACTGAAATATTAAAAAAATGGACATGAGTCTCAGATTTTCAGTCAGGATATGTAATTATACTGATAGGAAGGGTAAAGGTGATTTATTTTCATATTTAAATTAGACAAGCCACTCAACCAAAATTAATAGTTAATAAGGAATTCAACCAGGTCACATTATCAAAAAGTACAATATTAGTTTTTTATATTATTTAAAAACAGGAAAAATTAAAATGCCATAAGTTAATTGACAAATGGGTTTAGAAAGGAAAATAAGCTCATATAATACATCTTGAAATGTGGACAATGGAACACAGGCATGCTACATTTCCCAAGTATTTAAGTTATTACACATAAGCAAATGCACTCAGGAATTTTACATCATTTTGAATCTTCAGAATTACAGAAGGGTAGCATGCCTTTGTAGAGAAGGGTGGTTTTTATTTCAGGTAACATTCTATCAGCATTACCACTGACAGGTTAGTATTGCCTGCACTTTATCTAGATTAAGCCTTAACATAACTCTTTCATCAAAGCTACTACACTGACATGTAGGTGACTGATTCTAATGGAATTAGATGAAAAGAAGACAAAGAAAGGGCTGTCGTGCCCACACCAAGAGCTTTGCCACCCAACATGTACCATTATTTCCTTTAAAGCTTTCAAATTTGACTTTGAACAGGTTTCACCAAATACAACACTGAAGCAATTGCTATTACTGATCATGCCAGAGGGATTAGTAGAATTTTCTCCTGAATTATTTCTTTCCAAAGGGGGAGTTTGTAGATTAAATGAGTCTTGGAAACGTTTGCTGAAATGTATAGATTCATTTTATGACTAGCTTTCTAGTCACTGTCTTGTGGGTTATTAACCCTATAAAATGAATATTTTGATTAACTGTCCTCATTTTTAAAACATTTGACATGAATTGTTCTTGGAAATTTTAGTGACAGCACTCAATATGATTTCCTCAGTTATTTATTCAACAGAAAGTTGTCTATTATGTAAAAAGCATTGCAGTGTAGATAAAAATTAAGCAAGTCAAAGCATTGACTAAGTAATTACATTGTGTTTGGAGACATGTTAGCAGTTTGACTCTGCTAAAGCTTTGGCTGAATATGTCCAAAGGCAGGAAATGCCACTAGAAAGTTTCCAGATTATAAAGATCCTTGCATAACATGCCAAGGCATTTAATAAACAGTGAGAATACCTTTATATATTTTTAACAGAAGAGTAACAAGGAAGATCTGTATTTCAGAAAATCAGCCAAGCTTCAGTCTGTAGATTTTAATTGCTTTAACTTTTAACTTCTTTTCAAAGAGAATTAACACAAGCTAAGTTGGTGACAGCAGCAATGGTGAAGGGAGGAAGGAGAGATAATAGAAATAGTCAAGAAATATAATTAATGAGACCTAGTGCCTAATTAGATTTGATTGCATAAGAGGAGGAGAAAGTAAAAATAGTAATAAGACTGCTTCAGAGACTCCCTTGGAATTATAGTGTATTCCAGCAACAATTAAATCCTAAAAAGACCCAGAGTACTTTTCATTCAATTCCTATGCTGTCCAATTTCTGGGACTGACAGCTGTCAAAATTTTGGCTCCTTTAACCATATCCCGTATTCTTGTAGTCTTAGATCTTTGGCCCAGATATATGACTATAAATTATATATCCTCTCATATTGTTCCTGTTCCCATATTTTCTGGACTTCCTCTTTCCAAGTCCAACTTCCTTCAGTTCCCTTTCCTCCTAAAATTTCCCACTGTGCTCTCTCAGAACTATATTCCTCAGTTAACAAATTTGACCATATAATCATTGCTGAATATTTCAATTAAATTTTGGCTGTTCCTGAGAACAAATTATCTTACTGCTACCCTCTCAATTTAAGGGAAATTTCCTCCACATTCCTCAGTCATTAGGACTGTGACATGAGGATGGCATTCCACATACTCTACTCATAATTATCCAGACCATTTCCCTCTGATATTATCCAAAATACCCTTGCTCTTTGGTACTTAAACTTAGTCACACACACCTTTTTATTCCTTTCTACATCATCTACCAACATCTTCATCAGTCTTTCCCTGGCCTCCCATTCTTTGCTTCTGCTTCTCAGTTTCTCATCAAAGATAATGGAAAAATCTACTTGGATTATCCCTCTGACAAATTGGCATCCCAGTCCCTTAACTTAAACTCTAGTGACATTTTCATCTATTCTATTTTAGCCACTCAATTCTAAAACAAAAAATAATGACCTTATTCTTCTCTAGAACTGCTCAACCTCTACAAACTCCTACATCTGTTATTTGACTCAGTTCTCAATTTTCTTAGCAAGTTACTCTTTTAAGTGTTTTGACTTCATTGACTCCTTAAAATATCTCCATTAGAGTGTCGATTTCTTAGTTTTTCTTTAATAGCACCTATTCTATTGAAATATTTTCTATTATGGGTTTAAATGATCTTGGGAAATGTTAACTCAACTAATAGGCCTCTGTGATTACGTAATCTACACCACTATTAAAATAATTATAACAACTTGGATCATACAATGTCTTGATGTAAACGATACATTAGGTCATGTTATGGAAATGTTTACTAGCCATTGAATATTTTAATCTTATTTAGAATCTCTAATCAAATCTATAGAGTTTAATTATTTCCCAGATTTTTCTATTTCTATACTTACCTACCACTGACATTATTCTTATCTCTGAATTTTAACCTAAGTTATTTGACAAGGTAGTTAATTATTGCCTACTCAGTCATAGAAATCAAAATTCAAACATAAAAAGATATTTGTTGTAAGTTTTACTGTTCTTGAGATCAGAGAAGCTATTACAATTAATAGCATAAAAATTACTAGAAAAGTAGAATTTTTAGATAAAAGAAAAATTTAGTTCTCTAAACTAGTCTGGGTTAGAAAAATGCATGAAAATTATATAGTCATGTAATTTCTTAAAATATTATATCTATTTTGAGCAAAATATCTGAAAGTTTTCTTTAAGAATTCCTTTTTGTTTCTATTATAAATTATTTAGGAAAAGGTTATATTTTTATGACAGGTTTTTTCCCCCCATATTATAACTTTAACATGTTTTCTTTGATATAAAAATATAAATCAAGTACCATTATATTTATATGTCATTAAGGTACTGTTCTTGAGCCTATATCATGTATAGCGTATTGTGCATTATTTTTTCTGGCAACCATAATCTAGAAATGGGCTATAGAATGAAATTCATTAATGCTATGTTATACTAGAAGGCACAGAACATAAAGTAAATAAATCTTTTGTAATATCATACCAACCTTATAAATTGCTTTAAGGGAATAACAATCTATAGGGGTGGTAGATGATTTTCTAATCAGATATTACACAATATACATCAAATATTCTCATTCTGTAGTATTTAAAATAAGCAGTTGTCTACAACATACAATCACCAGTCACAATAAACTATTCATGCTTTTGTAGACCCCCAATTTGATAACTGCATAAAACAACCAAATATTTTAGAAGAAGAAATATTATAAGGAATGTATATCCAAGCTTCTGTGGTTCGACCAGGAGCTATTGCCTGAACTACACCTCCTTAGTTGGACTGAACAATTATGGAATGTGTCAAAATAGGCCTAATAATTTATCTCAAAAATTAATTAATAATCAATGATAAAGCTAAAGAGTTTTAAAATTAATGCCCAGTAACATTCTTTTACAATGTGAAACAAATGTAATTCTTATGTCATAGTCATATTCTTAGATGCCATGTCTTGGCTCACTAGTGTTTTAGGCCCTTTGCAAAGAAATATGTTTGTGTTGATAACAGAAAGTCAACATTTGTAGATAATTTCCTTTTTAAAATTAGTTGACTAAACTTGTCTTAGTTTAGTTCAAATATGCTTTATTTGGTGGCAGAGAAAAAGGACAGGGTTTAAAAACAAGGAAATTATTCATAACCTGGGTATCTCTAAATGAAAGTATTGTAATTTCAAAGACATATGTTTCAAAATTTTATTCCAGTTAAAATAAAACTGTATTATGGTAAGTCCTATTTAAAATTGTAATTTTATTTCAGCACAAAAGATATACACCCATAGATAATGCAACACTTTCTGCCTTTATGAATTTGCACTGCGGAATCATTTCTAATAGAAACAATTCCAAACTATTCCAAAAATGCAAGTTCTATGAAGCATTCTGAGTCCCAACCAAGCATGCAACCAACAAACTTTTAGCATTGCACTGAGAGGGTTTTTTTAAATATTGCTATTTTTTTGTTTGTATTTTTAATAGTGAGAACATGCCACAATATTCCTGGAAAAATTCTGAGCTTCCCTTCTTATCTTGCTCTTTTGGGATCTGTCTTTTATGTTGGAAATCTGTCTAAAACAACACATAATTTTTGCCCCTCTATTCAAGTTTAAGTATAACAGATTAAGAAGCCAATTGGAAGAACTCTACATCTGGGCACAATGCATTAATTATTGAGATCCATTATAGATAGCTTGTATAGCCAATATTCTTATTACATGTGAACTTCTACTGGCCAACTCTGTAGACCCCTTCTGGTTCTATCATCCAGTGACCTGGCAGTGGGCATTCTAAACGTTAATGTAGAAAGAGTGCTCTAGGTATGTCATACTACCTAATACTTCCGTTTTATCTCCTTTGTGTTTGCATTTAATAGGCCAATGACATTTTGGCTTAATTTTTGTATCTATTGTCTTTTATATGGGTCAGGGAGGGACATCTTTTAGACTGTACAAAGTCAGGAGGCCCACAGAATTTAAATGTTTTTTTGAGCACACGTTCAAAATAGCTCTTCGTTTTCAGTTACCAGTAACCTCTATCAATTACCAAGCTTTTCCTGAGTTTTCCCAGATAAGTCAAATTACTTCCCATTAATATCTACTTCCGTAGGTTCTTAATTCTGACCTCTCTCAGCACTGCTAAGTCACTTAACAACTCTCCATCTACTCTATACTCACTCATATTAAGTTTTGGTATTGTAGATATCCTGGTTTTGTCAAAGACAGAATTGTGTTTCTTTTCCTTACTTTGTAGCTTTGAAAGAAAAAATGGTGTAAATGTCATTACTCCACTATCATGAAATTTGAAACAATTAGAAATAACAGTTGGAGAGAGAGAAGAGAGGGATGTAAGTGTCATTACTGCATAATTTTGAAATGAACAATTAGAAATGAGAGTAACGAAGAGTCAAAGTTTTAACTTCAAGGTGATTGATGGGACATGGGAAATGAGTTACAATGGGACGTCTAGAATATTTCCCACCACTGTTAATATTTCTGCCACAATTTGATTTTTTGTGCCAAAATTTTTCTCATATTTGTTGCTCTATATGTTTTTAAAAATCAGTACAGCGTTTTTTTTGTTTGTTTTCTTTTGTTTTTTAACCTCAGCATTTATGAAAGCTAACTATGGTCTACTGGATGTAAAATTTGGAGAGCTGGGTTTGAGTTCCAAGGTTGTTATTCTCTGGTCATGTAACTTTCAGTTTTTAACTTTTCCTTTCTTTATCTCAGTTCCAGATTACTGGTATAGGAAATGTATTAGAGAGACATTTTTAAATGTCCTCTCTAAAATAGTGACTGTTTTGAATACTTTGCATATTGTTTTTAATTCTTCATGAAACCTTTAATGTAACTGCTATATTCTATTGGTTTTGACCAAATTATCTGAGACATAACTTACCCAAGGCCATAAAGCTATACAATTATAGATGAATATACTGATAACCTTCAAATTTTCAAAGTTGGGGGCACTTATCTTTTGTTTGACTACTTGGCATTGTTGGCAACCACCCCATTGAATTTTATGGCCCTAATTCTTGGCCATTTCTTCTCCACACTTTTTGTAGATGTCTCTGATGTTTATCCTTATATTTCAATATTTTCCAAGCTCTTTACTCAGCCTTTCGTTCATCCCACGTTAAAGATGGCATTTGAATAAATTTTTTATTTTCCCTTAAAAATTATATTTCCTTAAAAATTCTAGCCAAGAATTCTCTGATATGCACAAGATTTGTATATGTAAATTCCATATACCTGTGGATATCACGAGAAATTCAAACCAAATGTCTCTATAATTATATTTATTATATTTTCCCCCAAAACTACCTATCCTGTTCCTGGTTCCCAATTTACTATTTACTGACATCTGAGGCCTCAATTTTTGGTCTCATTCATCTATTTATATTCTTATATCTCCCTACCTTCTATCTCTTCTCATCTACACTCTTTTTCTACATCTACACTGATTTTTCTAAGCCACAAAGTTTTCATGGTATAACCTACTTAAAATCTATGTCTTGACACAAATTTTGGTGTATATTTTATACTCTTTAGATTATCATGTAAGTCTTTTCATTTTATCTTCAGTAAGCAATAAGGAGTTGGCTACTGCTTAACTTTCTGGTCACTTCCTATGATTCCCCCAGTATACTTGTTAATCTGTCTAAAGATATTGTTTTACTGTCTAAATGTTTCCTGATCCATTTTTCTGCCAGCATGTAAGTTTCTTTCTATGTGATATTGCTATTATTCATCTTTTAAAATTCAGCTCAAATGTCATCCATTTCAGGAAGATTTCCCTTAAATCTCCTCTCTACTTTCCATGGCTCTTTTTTGATATTCCCATAGGATAATGTACAAGCCTCTCTCAGAGCATGAGCCTGAATTTATTGCAAAATTATGCATTTTTGCCTTGCCCATTTCCTCCAATTTTATTTATAGAATCTTCAATGCTATGTTTATAGATTCACTTATAGTCTCAGAATAATTCTTATCATATAATAAACATACAGTAAGAAAATTTCAAAGAAAGAAAAACAAAAGGAAAGATAAAGCATTTGATTCATTGTCTTTCTATTACCAAATTCTAAATTGTTTCCCCTTCACAATGCTGCCTTACTTATCTCAAAGAGATGTTCTGACACTGACAAAATTTATGTGAAAGCATTTTACAAATACAGAACTATATTCATTTACAAACAACTAATAAGAATATGTATTGTGAAGCAATATGTAGTAACAGAAAAACTTGAAATACTTGGAAGTAAAAGAATAGAGATCAAATCTCAGTATCCTTTATTTATGCCTGAGTATACTTGCCAACAAAATTAGGTCAAACATTCTAAAATCCAGATGGTTTCTGTATAAATTGAAATATTTTTAGTTTCCCCGCCTCCTCACATGGTCCATAACCTCAAGTAATCTATGTGAAAATTTGGTTAAATAGCAAAGCATTCTACAAATATAAGGTCTTACTTATGGTTAACTATTAAACATCTGAAACAGGCAAACCATTGCAAGGAATACACAGTTACAGAAAAAAGTAGTGTGTTTTAATGGAAAGAGCATGGACTTTGGAGTCTGGCAAACTAAATTCTACTTCAGCCAGTTACCAAGTGTATTTGACTACAACACTTGGTCTTTAATCTCAGTTTCTCCATGTATAAATGGAGATAACACCAGTTCTGTCCATTTCTCAGGATTCTATGAGACAAGTGACATAATCCATGGGTCAGCTTTTGAAAGCAATGATTCTGAATGCAGATAAAATAAAATATTGTTATTTTCTTGAGCTTGAAATACAAGAAATAATTAGAATGCGTGAGATAGAGAGGAAAATCCTCGGTAACACTACCTGACAATGAGCAGTTCTAAGTTTTTATTTTATTTTGGGAAGGTAATTCTCAATTCACATCAGTCATCAGCTTTAGGCCTGTGACTGTAAGTCTACATTTTGATATTTTAATATTAGACACATATAGTACATTACATACAACAAAAAGAATATAATGTTATAAATTTCCATTTTTCAATTAACTAATTCTGATTACCACTTTATGGCTATTTTATTTTATTTTATTTTTTTGGCTACTTTAAAACTATTACATAAATATATTTCCATGTCCTGATAGTTTTTCTTATATTATTAAGAAAAACAGTCCTGATAATCCTGATAATTTTTCTTATATTATTCTCATTGGTGTTTAGGTGCTCTGTGCCCTAAAACTAAAAATTAAAATGAGACATTTCTTTTTGAGGACAAGCCAGGACTTGAAAATGTTTTGTTTTGTGACAATCTCCATCATCCTTGGCCTATCCAGTGAAAATCACACGTGACTTCTCTTGTCACTGCAACAAGGCCTCCTGTTCTGTTTGTGTGTGTGTGTGTGTGTGTGTGTCTGTGTGTTCCCAACCAAACACATATTTTTCATGCTCTTGTTTTTTTCCAAAATACATTCATGTTATCAGAAATCTAATCCCTTCAGTACTAAATTGCCAAAATTTAGGGGTCAGGAGTCTGTGTCACTGCAGAAATAATTTGTGGTTCTAAAGTTCTCATAGCCATGTCCCAAATCTGATTTTCAAAATCTCTTTATGCACCTCTTGAGTTCTCCATTATTTTAGAGCTTTTTCAAATGTTTATTTACTTTTTAGGTAACTTTAACTACTTTTATTCTCTCCTATGTATTTTAAAATTCATTTTCATAACAGATACAAAACTTTAGTTTTGAAAACACAGTTCGTAAGGTTTAAGAAAATTTCCATCCAACATAACATGTTGTAACTATAAAAGAGAGTTAAAATAGAGCTGAATTACCATTTTTTCAAAGATTAAAGACTCTAGAATGAAATTAAACACTGCATTAAAATTGTCCATATGTTTCTTACATGAAATATGTTAAAATTTAATTTTCTTGTTTTACAATTCTAAAATTGGAAATGTCTTTGTCACTCTTAAAGAAGGACATTCTGGGCCAGTGTACTAGATCAATGGTGAGGGGACGAGCGGGTGGGTAAAGAAGTGAGTGTAAAAGGCATGTCTTTATTGACAAAGAAGGATTGCCAATATAGTTATTCTACTTCAGGTATGTAGAGCAAGGATAAAGCATATGGGCCAAAGCTCATCCGATTCCTGCTTTTATATTATCCATGAATTAAAAATTATTTTTACATTTTTTTAACTATTGAAGAAAAATTGAAAAGTAGAATAATATTTCTGACACATGAAAGCTATATAAAGTTCAAATGACATGGTCCACAAATTTTCATTGAAACCCAGCCAGGCTCATTTGTTTATGCATTGTCCATGACAGTTTTCACACTATAATGGCAAATTTGAATAGTTGTGGTAGATACCAGATGGCTCCAAAGCTTAAGGTATCAATTAGCTGGCACTCTGCACAAGTTTGCCTGGTTCTTATCAGATGCATCCCTGAGACTAAAACAAGTGTTTTCTCCATTTCCCCATATTATTATAATACAGACAGCAGCCCCTCCTGACTCTAGCTTAATCATACATGAGCAGATAACTGAGGAAAAATGAATATTACAATATTAACTGAAATAATTGTGAGTTGTTTTTAAAAAAGATTCTCAGGGGAAAAAGTATACATTTATACATTTGTAAACTGCATATTTGCAAGACTACAATCATTTAAATATGTTAACTTTGTTTTATGGCTTGGAGTATGATATATTTCGGCAAATGTTCACATGCACTTGGAAATCATGCGTATGTTATATAAATTAATTTAGGTCAAGTTATTTAAATGTGTTGTTCCGGCCTTCTGTATTTTTAATGATTTTCAGGTCTATTGATCTATTGATTGCTAAGAGAAGACTGCTTAATTCTACGATTATACTTTTACTGCATTTGTTATTTTTTTCCTTTCAGTTTCATTACTGTACACTTTCCTTTTCTTACTATATGCTTTCCATTTTCTCTGCTTCTTTTTTTATCACCTCTCTTGACTTCTGATTTATGAAATATTGTTTTATCATTACACATTTATGTGAATGTAGACAGATCTAGATCTATCTATCTTTATTATCTTGAAACATATATACTATTTACACTGTTTTAGAAAATCTGTATTAGATCTCTAGGGCTGTCATAACAAAACATTACAAACTGGGTGGCTAAGCAACAGAAATCAATTGCCTCATAGTTCCAGAGACCAAGGTGCCAGCGATGTTGGTTACTTCGGAGTGCTGTGAAAAAGAGTCGGTTTCACGGTTCTCCTAGCTTCTGGTGATTTGCTGGCAATATTCATCACTCATTGAATTCTCGATGTACAACCCCAGTCTCTGCCTTCATCTTCATAATGTGTTCTGTCTTGTGTGCTTGTATCTGTGTTCCCCTTCTTATAAGGACACCACTCATTTCAATTAGGGGCCACCATAATGATCTCATTTTAACTTAATTAGTGCTATGAAGATTGTGCTTCCAAATAAGGCCAAATTCTTAGGCAATGGGGTTTAGGAATTGAACATATAACTTTAGGGGTACACGGTTAAACCTATAACAGTAGCTATCCTAGTATACACAAAACAAAATGCTTGGCAAATAAATTCTAACATTAATTGGTACTTTTTTTTTCTAACACAGTTCATGCAAGTATGTCAAAATACCATAACTCCATTAAGCTAACTCTTGACAAATGATGTTTTTGTAAATGTTTATCTATATTTTAAATCTCACAGGGGTTATTTTTTATCCCTTAGCTTTGCATATATTTAAGTTTTCTTTGTTTTTTTTTTTTAATTTATTTGCACATCTTCAAGCTTTCATCTCAAATTATCTCCTGTTTGCTCAAACAATATACTTTAAATTTTATTTTAGAGTGTGTCTACTTGTAATAAATTCAGAAAATATATCATATGGTTATCCTTGAAAGATATTTTTCTTAAAACAGAATCCTATTTTTCAGAAATCTTCTGTGACATATTCAAAATATTTTATCATCTTATGAATTCCATTTCTTCATATGAAAAATTAGTTGCATTTCTTACTTTTATTCATTAACAGTTCACTTTTTCTCTTTTTACCCTTTGGCTTCTTGTGAGATTTTATTTCCAAGACCTACCAAAAGAAAATCCTCAGCTACATTATACTTAATGGTGAAAGACTGAAGTTCTCCCCAGAAAGATTAGGAACAGACCACAACATTGTACTGAATATTTTTTCCAGGGATATTAGGGAAAAAAAAGTAAGACAACTTATTTGGAAAGGGACATTAAAACTATCTCTATGGCATATGACACAATTTTCCATATAGAAAATTCTAAGGAATAGACACACACACATTCACACACAAACTTAGAACCAAGAGTGGGTTTAGCAGGTTCACAGGATGAATAATCAATACATGAAAATCAATAATATTTCTGTACACATGCAATAAACAATCCCTAAATGAAATCAAGTCCCATTAGCAACATCTTCAAAAATAATAAAGGCTAATATTTATAATGGTAAAATAAATATAATCAAAAGTAATATAAGAGCTATATACTGTAAACTACAAACTTCACTGAAAAAAGTTAAAGAAGATCTAAACAAATGGAATGATGTCCCGTGTTCATGAATTGGAAAATTCATTATTAAGGTGGCAAAAATTCCCAAATTATTCTATAGTCTCAAAGTAAGCCCTACTGAAATCCAAGCTGATTTTTTTTAGACATTAACAAGCTGATTTGAAAATGTTTGCAGCTATGACAGAGTCACAAAATCGTCCAAATAATCTTGAAATAGATGATCAAATTTGGAAGACTTGCACTTTGTATTTTTAAAACTTACCACAAGAAACACTAATAAAGACAATCTTTACTAACATAAATGTAGTTATAAAAGATCCATGATGGAATTGTGAATCCAGTTATATTTCCTCACATTTATGGTCAAGTAATTTTTAACAAGGATGCTAAGATGATTCAATAAGCATAGAATATCCTTTTGGTATTATTTTGTTTATCCACATACAAAATACTAAAGTTGGACCCTTATCTCACATTATACAAAACAAATTACTACAAATGGACCAAATAGTTAAATATAAGAGCTAAACCTATAAAACTTTTAGAAGCAAATCTATGAATACACCTTCATGACCTTGGATTAAGCAATAGTTTTTTACATATAACAAAATCATAAGTGACAAAAAATATTAACATATTTTATGTTTCAAAGGACACCATCAGAAAAGTGTAAAGACAACCCATAGAATGGTAGAAAATATTTCCAAATTATATCTTATAAGGAACCACTAATTCAGTATATAGAATGAACTCATAAGATAACAATAAAAAGGCAACTGTCTCAATTAAAAGTGGACAAGGAATTTGAAGATACAGTTCTTCCAAAGAAATACATAATATAAACAGTCAATAAGTTCAAAAATATATGATCACTATCATTAGCTGTTAGAGAAAATGCAAAACAAAACCATAACGAAATACCCCTTCACACCCACTAGGATGACAACAATTAAAAAAAGATGTAACAACTGTTGGTAAAATGTGGAGAAATGGAACCTTGCATATACCATTGGTGGGAAGGTAAAATGGTAATGCACTTTGGAACACACTTTGGCAGTCCTTCACAATGTTTAACATAGAGGTATCATACAGCATAGCAATTTTATCCTAAGAAAAATGACAACATATACCCACACAAAAATATGTACATGTATGATGATAGCCCAAATGTATCAACTGATGAATGAATAAACAAATGTGGTAGATGCATACAAGGGAATATATCCAACAGTTATTTTAAAAGATGAATGGATTGTGGATATAGGCTACAACATTAATTAACCTTGAAAGTATTATGTTCTGGAATTAAATAGTGGCAAGGATTGCACAACTTTGTGAGTTTTCTATAAATGGGTATATTGTACACTTTTAAAAAGTGAATTTTTATGGTATGTGAATTATGTCTAAAAATACTTTTAAATTAAAGATCACTTTCTCTTTGGTTTTCTGCAATTTTGCTATGAAATGCCCAGGGGACTATATAGGTACATGGATACACAGATATATAGATGGATTAAAAGATAGAAGGATAGGAATAAAGATAGATAATTTCAATCTTGCTCCTGCCTTATAGAACTTCTGGAAACTGACTTGAGAGTACCTGTTTGGGGCAACTATTGATTATTATATCTCCGAATATTGCTTCTGTGACATTCTTTATCACTGTGTCTTTTGGGATTCCAAGTGCCTGTATTTTATACCTTCTTCTTTTATGCTCTAACTTGATCTATTTTATATATTTTCCAACTGTTCAGTTGCTTGAGGTTCATTTGGTATAATTATCAATTCCCATACCTTCCTTTTTAGCTGTGTTTTTTTGGTGTTATGTTTCTATATTTTGTTTGTGATTTGTTTATTGCTTTGTTTCGATTTTAGAATTTTCACTTGATATTTTTACAGCTTGTCAATCTTACCATTTCTTCTTGAACAGAGAGAACAGTTATTTTAAAGTCTACCTCAAATGCTTGCAGCCCTTGGGGACTGCTGTATTCTCTATTTTTTTCTACTAGTTTTTGTTCAAATTGTCCTTTTTCCTTAAATCTATGGTTATTTCTCAATCTGTTAGTGACATGACATTTTTTAAGTTGCTGATGGAAAGCATGTGAGGCAGGGAATGAAATTATCTTTTCTTATATAAAAAGTAAATATTTTTACATTTGGCAGGCCTGGAAGTTCAGTAGCAGTCCAGTACCACCAAAATCTAATTGCAAAAAATAAGATGGCTTGAAATGGTCCTGTAGTTCATGAGTCTTAGTCGATTTAGGGCTGCCATAACAGAATACCATAAGCTGGTGGCTTACAAATAATAGAAATTTATTTCTATTTCATTCTGGAAATTGAGACTTCCAAGATCAAGGCACCAGCAGACTCAAGGTGTGGTATAGGCCTCCTTCCTATCTCTTCACTGTCTCTTCCCTGTAACATCAAATGACAGAAGAGGCAAGCTATCTCTCTTGGGTCTGTTTTGTAAGGACACTAATCCTATTCATGAGGGCTACACTCTCATGACCTAATATTGCCTTAAAGGCTCCACCCACCCTCCAATACCATCATCTTGGGGGTTAGGATTTCAACACAGAAATGTAGAGGGTACACAAACATTCAGGTCATAGTACCATGTAAGGATATATTTATGTTCAAGTCATTCTTCCTTTTAAATTGTGGCCACTTTGAGGTTTTCAACTTCTTTCAAGACGGGATTTTACTAGGCAAACTTTTTAAAATTTTGTACCAGATAGAAAATATCCCCTCTCTTCCTCAATTTTTTAAAGCTATTGAGTTTTTAATCTCACAAGCAACTTTTTCAAAATTGGCCAAAGAGATCATGGCTGATATCTCTGGATATCCATCTTCTTACATTGCTTTGGTGAAAATTACAACCATTTTACCTTTACCATGTTTTAAGACATATCAAAACAATTGTTCAGCATTTTTAATTGTTCTAAGCAGGAAAAGTGATCTATGAGAAATCATTCCCTATTCCTGAACATTTACTTTATGTACTAATGTACTTGTATTGTTATGTGACTGAGTCCAAGAAGAAAGGTTTTTGGGATAATTCATATATATGTTTTCAATTATTTTCCATAATGAATCTGTTTTCATGTAGAGAAAAATGTATTCTATTATTTTTAACTAGTTGATTATCTTTCATGAAATTAGATTGGAAAAGGCCAAGAGCTGAGTTGGTGCACTATATTAGTACCACAGGGAATACCCAATGTCCACATAAATCACACCTAAGCTGTACATAATTGTGCAAGATAACACAAGCAAATATGATAATTTGTGGCATTGATAAATAGTTTGCATAAATATTTAATTGCTATATCTAAAATGTTTAAAAATAAAAATACAAATATATGTATTACGTTCTATTTTTAAATGTTTACATTTTAATTAGAGATATCAGAAAACACAGTATAACCTCTAATTTCCTTGGATATTCCATTTTCCAGATAAAGCCAAAATAAATCAGCCAATACAACACATGCTTTTTCAATTATGGTACTTTTTACAAGAGTTAAAACAATTATTTAAATGTAAAAAATTAAACATAAGACTGTGTGGAAACTTTTAAAGGCAAAATTTTTTTTTGGGTGAGAGCAAGTCTATATATACTGACTTCTACCTAACTACAGTATCCAAACTTATGCTAAATAAATTATTTTACATTCTATAATGATCCTCAAATTTTGAGTGCACTTACACTCTTCTTTCTAATATATGTAAGTCTTTTAAGGATGTTTTACTAAATTGTTACACTAAACAGTTGGAACAACTTCCTTTGGTACTATACACATTGAGAAGAGATTCAATGAAACACACTAAGCTCTAGCACTGAAAACAAAAATTTTAATGTGTATTGCCTTGAATTGTATGCAATAAAACAGAAGAGAATAAGCACAGATTATTGTAGTGCAATCTTCTAAAAATGGGAAACTTACTTTCACCTGCAAGAACTATTTTTGTGATAAGGTAATGATGGTGCTATAAAATAATTATAGGGACACTTTCCTGAGTGAGTCAATTTAGAGAACAGCTAAATAAGTCAATTACCAAAGAACCCCATGGTGAAGATGTTGGATTTTTACAGGTTTTAGAACACACATACACACATACAAATACAGATGCACACACGCGCGCGTGCACGCACACACACACACACACAGAGAGAGGAGAGAAAGAAAGAACCCATTGAATGATAGAAAAGAACATCCCTGAAATGAAAGGTACATGGAGTTTTTTGTCATATAGAAAAAAGAGGTTGATTTTAAAATGAACTGACATTTTTGAGGCGAATATATTATACTATAAACCATTTTCTTGACCACAAAAAGACGTACTAAAGTGGGAATGAAAATGAAAGCATGGCCAAATGATCTAGCTCTGTTGACATCCTATGAGTCTAAGTGGTGATCTAAATTTCAAAGAATTTATTACAATTTCTGGAAATAGGCCAGTTTTCTGCCAACTTAAAAGGTCAGAAAATAACTACTAAACTTATTGGTACAAGGTTTCCAAAATGTCTAAGCCAAAAATGGTTTCAATAGCATAAATACTAAAAGTAGCTTATTTCATCTTATTTAAATATTATTAAAATACTTGAAACCTGAGGAAGCACAGTTACATTTTAATACATCAGCCAAATACTATGGCATTAAGAATTGAATTACTACTAAGGATCAAGGAAATAGAAATCAATGACATCTAAGATGAAAAATTAACAACAAAAATCATCATAAATTTTCTCACTTATTTTTAAAGTTATTTAGAAATCTTTGAATATCCAATAACAAAAATGAGAAATTTGTAAGACACAATAAGATTCTCCAAATGATAACAGTTTTCACCACATTTTTCTCAATAATTTTATATTTTAAGTGGCAACTCTCTCCCTTGACTTATGAAACCGTCAACTACTTTCTCTCCTCCAGGCAACTCCAACAGACAATGAATAATTTACTCATAATTCTAATTAAAAACTGAATAGAAGCTGCACAGCCTGTGTAAGTTATAAGGCAGTGTACTAATTATCTGTTACTTGAATTTTAAATAGTTATAGGCAGCTTTAGGAAAGCATGTATAGAATTAGCAATCCAAACCAAACCAGTTTCCTGAAAACACTGTTGAGATATTACTGATTTCCTAATTATTGGGTCTTACATGCCTTCTAATTACCCTTACAATTTATATCCTTTCTTTTTCCATGAAAATACATAAACTATAGTCATCTACTATGAACAGGTAACACATTAAATAATCCCCATGATATCCATGCAAGACAATGATTCTTGTATTAATTGCTGATCTTCTTCAGAGGCTAAACCTTTACTTAACTTTTCAATGCTTACATTTCAACTTTTATGTCACAAAGTCCAGTATGCTATTCATACTTATGAAGTTAAACAGAAACAAAGAATTTCAAATGTAAGACCCAAAATGCCAGATGCATATTTGTGTATATGTGGTAAAACCCAACACTGAAGTATATTTCTTTAGTTGTGCGAGGTCGTTTCTGGTGCTAAAATGGAACTGGTGATGACAACAGTTCACACCAAGAAAAAACAATCAAAACTCTGCCACCCACCCTACCAAGCAAACACTGCTCACAGGATCATTTGACCTCATTTTTATATGCATTGTTCATTCTACAGGAAAGATAAAGCTGGCAAATTCCACCAGAGGAAGGTAAACTATTTTTTAAAATGTTTCTTGACACTGTAATTCTATACATGACTGAAAGTATTTTTAAGGACTGAGAAGAAAGTTATTCAATATAATTTTTGTTGTATTTTATTTAATTAAAAACAGTTGTTTTAACTTACTTTTAATTTTACCAAGTATTATATACCATGAATATTATGAGTTAACAGAATTTTATTAATTTAGAAAGTAGCCAATAGTGCCATGTTAGGAAAATATATGATCATGGAAATTTCCCAGAACTCCAAATGTTTAGTTTAACTTTGGCATAAATTTTAGAGGAAGAACAAATAGTAAACTGAATTTAAGCAGGGTCTCCCTCTTATAGAGAACTGCAATACTCATTGAATTATTCCTTAATATCACAATTAAGTTGATAATTTATTTTTATGAAAGTTTGTACTTTTGATTAAAATAATCATAGGATAAATCAGTCTATGATTTCATAGAAGGTAAACTGAGTTACAGAAAATCTTTGTCTAGCCTTAGCCTTTTAAGTATATTAGTACCTTGGAAATCCTACTTGAAAGTCAGCTGATATGGAAAATATGCCCATGCAAACATCATCTAAATTTCTTTCTCAAGTGAAATTTTGACAAAGGGGCATACATACACCAATAAGAATGCTGACAAATAGCATATGCAGGTTCCCAAAGCCTATGATATTGGCCATTCTGCTTCCTGAAGAGGGAAAGATAAATTCAAAGAATATATTTACCTATTTATGTTTAATTTATTGAATATAGATGCTGTTACTGTTTTTCTTAAATGTAAAACATGTACCAAATTTATATTAAAAATTCATTATTTTATATTTCTAATATGGCAATCAGCTATTCAAGTAGAAAACAGGAAGGAGGATACAGCTGAACAGTTCATAAGGACATAAAACAGATTTGTATTTTGTTAACAGTTTCCAATTTTGGTCCTTGCAAACTTGTTTAGGAAAAATGAGAGAACACTTTGATAACATGGTCTTGAGAGGTCTATATTAATATCACGTCAAATAATACTTATTGAGAGTATTTTTATGTTGATCTTAGATAAGAGAATAGTATCTTGAGCTCTGTAATTAAAACATAGAAGACATAGTATGCTTGACATGTATTATCAGAACATGAAGGAACCCAGTGTGGTCAAGGGATCAAATTTGTGTTGCACTGGTTTGGAAAGCAATATGAGCCCTAAAGCCTGGAAATTTAAAAAAAAAAAAACTTAGAGCCTTATATAAGAAACATGAATTTTAATTGAAATTCTCTACTTTAGAATGTACAGCTTTATCAAGAAGATAATAAAGAAGAGATTAATTAGCTTGTCTGGATTCTGGCAGCAGATTCCATCATGTTGGCCTAAGAGTTGCAATGGATAACCTTATCCCATCTTAAATTACGGTGGTGCTGTGATAGCCTTACATTTGTTATGCTATAAAAAATATTAAACTTCAGTGGTTTTTCATGTCTGTAGTTCTTTTGGAACATGCTTCCCGAAAATGATGATGGTTTATAGATCACGTTCTGTAGAACTGTAAAATATTTAGCAGGAGTGAATGAGACAGAACTTCTTGCTACTTCACTGTAAATCTACTAACCTCTCTAAAATATGAATCAGAAGAATAAAATATAAATCAAAATAGAACGGGGGACTCACCAAGTATTACAAAAAATAATATGTATTATCAAACACCAATAAATTTTCCCTGACATCTAATGTTGGTCTTACATTTATTAAAAAATGTAACCTTTGAAGTACAACTTTACATGAAAACCTATTTTAAGGAATCATAAAGAGAAGGCAATGATGGGATTATATAACAATTTTTCATTTCCATATGAGAATATAAATTATTAAGCTTATCATTTTTCTTTTTATTTTAGTAACAAAGACATTACTGAATGTTGCCAACAGATTTAACATTGGCAAATCATCTGACATACAGCTTAATCTCCTATGATACAATATATGAATATATAGATGTAATTCTGTTGTATGAACAAAATTGTTATAGCACATTCTGGAATTGATTACCTTGAAACTAAAGTAATAGATTAGAGTTACTTGAAATTTAGTTGCATAGTAAGGCTAAATCTTAAATAAATATGCTACAATTACATTGACAGAATAAAAGATTTTTACTAAAATTTCATACATAGCCTTAAGTGTATGCTTGAGTAATCACAACGTATATATAGCTTTTTTCTTAAAGATAACATAAGGACTCTGACTTCATAAAGATTGAATAAAATGAGAAATAGGACACACCAACCCACATGATACAAAATAATAAAAGCTACAAGAAAAAAATGCTATAACAGGGACACAGTTTGGGAAATTTTTAAAGCAAACTTCACCCACAAACCCAACAGATGGTAAATCTACATCTGTTTACACAGCTTATAATGACCACTTTCTTATGTAGAAAAAAGGCTGTGAAAGAGAACATAATTTTATATAAAGCACACTCCACATTACATTTATATGGCTGTAAATATGGCCTAGAACTTTCCATTGCTCATCATTGTCCACAAATATTTCTCACTCTTTTCCATTAAACTAAGCACAAGATACATCAGTTGATAGCACTGATTTCTAAATACAAATTTCAAAAATATTTGTAATTTCTCTGTCCACCTTTGAAAAAGGAAATTGCCATTAGACTTTAACATTCTACAAATTCCAAAACTCTTTATGACCAGAATAGAGTCCCCAACATTTGCTTAAGCCAATCACTGATGATTTATGATAATTTAAAGTCAATTGATATGTCAACAGTAGTTGGAAAAAGTTTGTGAATAATACCAAGAACAAAATGTCTTAAAAGATTTTAGAAGATAATTCGATCTTCTAAAGTTTCATCTGACAATGAATTTTAAAACCAGAAAAAAATAGCTGACATTCATGTTAGCAAGCATTTTTTATTCCACATTCTCTATGCTTGACTGATCCATAAATTGTTGCAAATCATCTAAGTGAAGCACTAAATATAAAAAGATGAGCACTGGAAATTTTCATAAGAAATTACATTTGTATGTATTATAATATGATAATACATATCACATTTAACTCATATTGCAACTAAATATTAACAGAAATTTTGGCAGCTGTTAAAAAGTTCAAATATTCACTCATGTAAAAATATGACATCTATTTTTTTCTTAAACTAAGATTATTTTTTGTTCATGGATACAGATACAAATAACCTCTCTCTAAAGTCACTCCTTATATAGTATCATTCATTTCACAAAAGCCAGCCTGAACATGTCACACACTGAAATTCAAAAGGTTTTAATGAAAAAGTCTCTTTTATTTTTTGAAACAGTACCATTGGGATATCTGAAAAGGGTAATACAGTTAGAGAGACTGTGAAAATGGTTCTATCACAAACAAAAATAGTAGGTCAAGAAAAGGAAAGGATGTTTTAAGGTAAGATAATATCATTCATTGAATTTGGATCTACTGAGTTTGAAGCATTGATAGAATGTTCAACTGGAAACAGTTTTCAGACATTTGGAATATAATAGTAAGGCAAGCACAGGAGATGTGCTTAAGCTATAGTAAAAACTTTTAGATACTATACCAGTCATAGTTAAAGTTACAAACTATGCAGGATATCCAAGGTAAATAATGAAGACAGAGAAGCACAAGAAAAGATTATTTGAGCAAAGCATATCATTTGAGTGGTATGAGAAAGAAGAGATAAGGAAACCTTACTGGAATAAGTGGTGCTCTCAAAAAAATTAAAATGAAGAAAAATAAAGAACAAGAAAAGAGTGTTGTTTGTGGTCATAAGTGACCAGACAGGAAATTATTCATAAAGCATTTCTCACTGGTTTTATAAATGAGTAACAAATATGAATAAACAGGTATAAGATCCTGAAGTGTAAGTTTATATATGAAGGTGAAGATTTTAACAAGTGGACTTGAGATCATGGATCATGATGAAATAATATCAATAATGGTGAATGACACTGAGTCAAAAGTTTTGTGTGATAAAATATTCTAATTTAATAAAATCAACAAACAACTGACTCAATGAATATACAAGAACCATAACCTTTGTAGAACTTACTAATTTACACACAAGGCATAGGTATGCTTAGTTAGTTGTGCTTGTTACCAAAATGCCAATGAGATGTTTATTTTCCCCCAAATCTTTACTGCATTATCATTAACAAATAAAAATTGCATATATTTCATATATGCTTTGATGTTTTGATATATGTAATACATTGTGGAATAATTGCCACAATCAAGATAATTAACATTCTTCACCTCACATAATTAAGTGTGTGTTTGTATGTGTGTGTGTGAGAGAGAGCACTTATGATCTATTTTCTTAGGACATTTTAAATCCACAATACAGAATTGTTAACTATATTCTCATTGCTGTACATTAGATTTTCAGAAATTATTCCTCTTACATAACTAAAACTTTTTATCCCTTGACCAAGATCTTGCCATTTCCTGATCCTCTCAGCTTCTGGGAACTAAAATTCTACTCTTCATCAGTTGTCCTTGTTATGCATAGCTAAATGTATACTTAAAACCAACATTGTAAAGCAATGTAGAAGTCAGGAAGGAGCTCTGGTCCCTGTATGTTGACTTCCCAGACGAAAATTAGAAATTGACACAGAAATAGCAAGATAATTTAGTGAATAGTAAAGATTCACAACACAAAACTTAGGTTATAATTTTACTTTTATATAATGACATTTTATTTAAAAAAAACTATAACAATAGTAAACTATATTGAAATAATAACTTTCTATATACTTTTCACTTAAATCAAAGGCCTTACTTGTCTATATCAACTTCCATTCTTCATCCACATAAAATCCTGGGATTTAAGTTTCTCCACCACTTAAAGTCTATGTGAAAAGTGAGGAAGTATTTTCAACAATCCAAATTTCAGTTCCTTGTCTATAAATTAGAGATAGTAATGTCTATGCAAAGATTTTAAGAATTAAATGATTATATAATTTTGCAATTATTTTTTTAAAATTTGAAAGCTTACCTAAATGGTGGGTAACATCATTTGAAATTATTTGCATTAAGTTGCAGTAAAATACATGCTAATTATAAATAACTAGAACATGTTAATTTTAAGAAAATTAAAATCCTTCATAATTGTGAAATAATGGAATTTTTAGGTATATGTTTTTCATATGTCAGTTCATATCATTATCATATACCTTTGTATTCTGGTTTTTAACTTAGCACTATGATAATTTAAGTGTTTTCCAAATCATTACTTATTTTAAAAAGTGTCTTAATGCCTGTATAAACATAACATTAATTTGTGAGTGTTTCAATTAACTAAGGGAATTTGTAATTTTTAACTTAGCATTTTGAGTACTTTCAGAATTTTTTATAAACAAGACTATATTCAAAAATCTTTGCTGGCAACTAATTTGTCTGCCAAGATTTCATTAGAAAAAAATGTCAAGAAGTAATTTAGCCAGGTTAAAAAGCAATCACATTTCAAAGACTTTGATGTAAATTATCAAATTGGCCACTAGAAATAATTTGCGATTATTCATCCATTTGCAATTTGAGGAATAGTTCATGGCATATACCCTCCGAAATAAAATGGGCATTATGTTAATATCTTTCTAATGTGTTAGAATAAATATTCTATTTTATTATTATATTAATTTGCCAATTAAGTGTTTGTCATAGCAGTTGAGTCTTTTACTATATTTCAGGATTGTTTGTAGTTTGTAAACACGTTTAGCTATACGATTATGCTATATATATTCTTTTGTATCTGTCTTTTTTTAGCAAGTTTGTTCTCTTTCCAATTCAGTATCTGTGTATGTGCATATAGGTACATATACCCTCACATATACATACATAATTATTTTAAGTCTGAATTGCATTCAGAGATGGCTTTAACCAGTTTCTCTAAATGGACAAATGAACAATTTTTTTTTCATGTTGGCAAATTTTATACATAATCTACATAGATCACTGTCTTTTTTTGTTAATGATATAATTATTTGGAGTCATTTCCATGAAGAGTAATTAGTGAGTTTAAAACATGTACCTATGTTACTTGATGTTACTCATTGTAAAAATGCCTTCCAGAGACGTTTTAGCAATGTATAGCACCAGCAACAATGCATCATGTATGAGAATGATTTTTTTTCTCCACAGATCATTCCCAGAATTAGATTTCAGTTTGTTAGTCCCTTTCACTTTTGTGGGGCACTAAGGAGTTAAAATAAAATTGACAAATAGGTTTAGCTTGCAGAAACAGACAAATGGGTAGGTGGGAGTGAATGTTCCAAGAAATGGGGTCAACTGCAAACAGCTTACTGGCACCCCCCGAGTATCCTGCCACAGGCCCTGAGCTCACCAGCTCACATGCACCCAAGCATCTTGTCTGTAAGCATTCAGACTAAGCAGCATGACCTTATAAAATTTCCCTCTAGCTCCTGCCTCTTTGCAGACAGCAGAGAGCCTTCTTTTTACTATCTTGCCTGTTGCTCCCTTGCAACGTACTGTTCCCTTTTCTCTAATAAATCTGTCTTTCTAAACTTGTTACTGTCTTGGGTAAATTCCTTTACTACCCAGGCGCCAGCCTCTGACAGTTGACCATGACAACTTTGTCTAATTTTGACTGAAGTAAAGAGAATGGGGGGTGGAGACAAGATGGACGAATAGGAACAGCTTCAGACGAAGAAGGCCATTACATAATGGTAAAGGGATCAATTCAACAAGAAGAGCTAACTATCCTAAATATATATGCACCCAATACAGGAGCACCCAGATTCATAAAGCAAGTCCTGAGTGACCTACAAAGAGACTTAGACTCCCACACATTAATAGTGGGAGACTTTAACACCCCACTGTCAACATTAGACAGATCAAAGAGACAGAAAGTTAACAAGGATATCCAGGAATTGAACTCAGCTCTGCACCAAGCAGACATAATAGACATCTACAGAACTCTCCACCCGAAATCAACAGAATATACATTCTTCTCAGCACCACACCACACCTATTCCAAAATTGACCGTATAGTTGGAAGTAAAGCACTCCTCAGCAAATGTAAAAGAACAGAAATTATAACAAACTGTCTCTCAGACCACAGTGCAATCAAACTAGAACTCAGGATTAACAAACTCACTCAAAACCGCTCAACTACATGGAAACTGAACAACCTGCTCCTGAATGACTACTGGGTACATAACAAAATGAAGGCAGAAATAAAGATGTCCTTTGAAACCAATGAGAACAAAGACACAACATACCAGAATCTCTGGGACACATTCAAAGCAATGTGTAGAGGGAAATTTATAGCACTAAATGCCCGCAAGAGAAAGCAGGAAAGATCTAAAATTGACACCCTAACATCACAACTAAAAGAACTAGAGAAGCAAGAGCAAACACCTTCAAAAGCTAGCAGAAGGCAAGAAATAACTAAGATCATAGCAGAACTGAAGGAAATAGAGACACAAAAAAAAACCCTTAAAAAAATCAATGAATCCAGGAGCTGGTTTTTTGAAAAGATCAACAAAATTGATAGACCTCTAGCAAGACTAATAAAGAAGAGAGAAGAATCAAATAGATGTAATAAAAAATGATAAAGGGGATACCACCACCAATCCCACAGAAATACAAACTACCATCAGAGAATACTATAAACACCTCTGCGCAAATAAACTAGAAAATCTAGAAGAAATGGATAAATTCCTCGACACATACATCCTCTCAAGACTAAACCAGGAAGAAGTTGAATCTCTGAATAGACTGATAACAGGCTCTGAAATTGAGGCAATAACAGCTTAGCAACCAAAAAAAGTCCAGGACCAGATGGATTCACAGCCGAATTCTACCAGAGGTACAAGGAGGAGCTGTTACCATTCCTTCTGAAACTATTCCAATCATTAGAAAAAGAGGGAATCCTCCCTAACTCATTTTATGAGGCCAGTATCATCCTGATACCAAAGCCTGGCAGAGACACAACATAAAAAGAGAATTTTAGACCAATATCCTTGATGAACATTGATGCAAAAATCCTCAATAAAATACTGGCAAACCGAATCCAGCAGCACATCAAAAAGCTTATCCACCATGATCAAGTGGGCTTCATCCCTGGGATGCAAGGCTGGTTCAACATACGCAAATCAATAAATGTAATCCAGCATATAAACAGAACCAAAGACAAAAACCGTATGATTATCTCAATAGATGCATAAAAGGCCTTTGACAAAATTCAACAACCTTCATGCTAAAAAATCTCAATAAACTACGTATTGATGGGACGTATCTCAAAATAATAAGAGCTATCTACGACAAACCCACAGCCAATATCATACTGAATGGGCAAAAACTGGAAGCATTCCCTTTGAAAACGGGCACAAGACAGGGCTGCCCTCTCTCACCACTCCTATTCAACATACTGTTGGAAGTTCTGGCCAGGGAAGTCAGGCAGGAGAAGGAAATAAAGGGTATTCAATTAGGAAAAGAGAAAGTCAAATTGTCCCTGTTTGCAGATGACATGATTGTATATCTAGAAAACCCCATGGTCTCAGCCCAAAGTCTCCTTAAGCTGATAAACAACTTCAGCAAAGTCTCAGGATACAAAATCAATGTGCAAAAATCACAAGCATTCTTATACACCAATAACAGACAAACAGAGAGCCAAATCATGAGTGAACTCCCATTCACAATTGCTTCAAAGAGAATAAAATACCTAGGAATCCAACTTACAAGGGACGTGAAGGACCTCTTCAAGGAGAACTACAAACCACTGCTCAACGAAATAAAAGAAGATACAAACAAGTGGAAGAACATTCTATGCTCATGGGTAGGAAGAATCAATATCGTGAAAATGGCCATACTGACCAAGGTAATTTATAGATACAATGCCATCCCCATCAAGCTACCAATGACTTTCTTCACAGAATTGGAAAAAACTGCTTTAAAGTTCATATGGAACCAAAAAAGAGCCTGCATTGCCAAGTCAATCCTAAGCCAAAAGAACAAAGCTGGAGGCATCACCCTACCTGACTTCAAACTATACTACAAGGCTACAGTAACCAAAACAGCATGGTACTGGTACCAAAACAGAGATATAGACCAATGGAACAGAACAGAGCCCTCATAAATAATGCTGCATATCTACAACCATGTGATCTTTGACAAACCTGAGAAAAACAAGCAATGGGGAAAGGATTCCCTATTTAATAAATGGTGCCGGGAAAACTGGCTAGCCATATGTAGAAAGCTGAAACTGGATCCCTTCCTTACACCTCATACAAAAATTAATTCAAGATGTATTAGAGACTTAAATGTTAGACCTGAAACCATAAAAACCCTAGAAGAAAACCTAGGCAGTACCATTCAGGACATAGGCATCGGCAAGGACTTCATGTCCAAAACACCAAAAGCAATGGCAACAAAAGCCAAAATTGACAAATGGGATCTAATTAAACTAAGGAGCTTCTGCACAGCAAAAGAAACTACCATCAGAGTGAACAGGCAACCTACAGAGTGGGAGAAAATTTTTGCAATCTACTCATCTGACAAAGGGCTAATATCCAGAATCTACAATGGACTCAAACAAATTTACAAGAAAAAAACAAACAACCCTATCAAAAAATGGGTGAAGGATATGAACAGACACTTTTCAAAAGAAGACATTTATGCAGCCAAAAGACACATGAAAAAATGCTCACCATCACTGGCCATCAGGGAAATGCAAATCAAAACCATAATGAGATATCATCTCACACCAGTTAGAATGGCAATCATTAAAAAGTCAGGAAACAACAGGTGCTGGAGAGGATATGGAGAAATAGGAACACTTTCACACTGTTGGTGGGACTGTAAACTAGTTCAACCGTTGTGGAAATCAGTGTGGCGATTCCTTAGGGATCTAGAACTAGAAATACCATTTGACCCAGCCATCCCATTACTGGGTATATACCCAAAGGAATATAAATCATGCTGCTATAAAGACACATGCACACGTATGTTTATTGCGGCACTATTCACAATAGCAAAGACTTGGAACCAACCCAAATGTCCAACAAGGATAGACTGGATTAAGAAAATGTGTCACATATACACCATGGAATACTATGCAGCCATAAAAAATGATGAGTTCATGTCCTTTGTAGGGACATGGATGAAGCTGGAAACCATCATTCTCAGCAAACTATAGCAAGGACAAAAAAACAAACACCACATGTTCTCACTCATAGGTGGGAATTGAACAATGAGAACACATGGACACAGGAAGGGGAACATCACACACCGGGGCCTGTTTTGGGTAGGGGTAGGGGGGAGGGATAGCATTAGGAGATATACCTAATGTTAAATGACGAGTTAATGGGTGCAGCACACCAACATGGCATATGTATACATATGTAACTAACCTGTAGGTTGTGCACATGTACCCTAAAACTAAAGTATAATAAAAATATATATAATAATAAAATAAAAAAACAAATCCAACTTTAAATAAAGGGGGTGTTAAATGTTAAAAGAAAAAAGAGAATGAAACTTATTTTTAAAATTTGAACACAATAGGCTATTAATGAAACTTTATTTAAATCTTTATATTTTTCCAGGCCAATTTTAAAGCTTTTAAAAGTTTTGTTTTTTTAATTCTGTGCCCATTTTTAGTAAATATAGTATATTTTTCTTAATGGTTCTTAAGGTTTTACATCATAATAATGCAAACATTTCTCCAAATACTTGATGTTTAGTATTTCCACGTCACTGCATTTAGTGCATTTTCATGATTTTTTAAATTTCCTTGACATGTTTTGTATTTCCTTGACATATATAATATTATTAAAACACACACTCAATCATAATTTAAATGCTAATCCTCACAAATCTATTAGTCTCAATTTTGTTTAATTGGTTTTTTTTGTAGTAGATATATAATTTTTTATAGTGAATTACATCAGTCTTTTCTGTTTACTTCTTTTATACTTTGTAAGGAATTGGATAAGTCTCAAACAAGACAGTTACTCATCATTCTGGGTTTTTTGTTTTGTTTTGTTTTTTGAGACAAGGTCTCACTCTATCACCCAGGCTGGAGTGCAGAGGCACAATCTTGACTCACCGCATCCTTGACCTCTCTGGCTCAAGTGATCCTCCCACCCCAGCCTCTTAAGTAGCTGGGAATACAGTCACACACCACCACGCCTGGCTGATTTTTTGTATTTTTTTGTAGAGACAGGATTTCCTCATGTTGCCCATGCTGGTCTCAAACTCCTGAGCTCAAGCAATCTTCCTGCTGTGGCCTTGAAAACTGCTGGGATTACAAGCAAGTGGCACTGTGCCCAGCCTCTATTCTGTTCTTCTTTCATCTGCATTTATGTTTAAAATTTCAACTTTTAAAATTTAATTTTTAAATGTTGAGAAATAAAGGACAGTATTTTTTCGTATAGTTATTACCTGAACATTTATTAAATGATTATTTAGCATAATGCCATATGTTCTCATTCTTAATGTGTTTGTAATCTCTCAATTGGTTGCATTTTCCATCTGTCAAAAGGTCTCACTTAAACATTTTAAGCTTTGCTGAGTACCTTTTAAAAAGTGTAAAAAGGGTGATACACCACAAATTTCACCAGAATTTTTAAAGTATATATTCCTATTTATAATTCCAAATACAATTTCGGAGTTATTTTGAGTTTCTAAAGGATCTTCTTTAAATTTTATATGGAATTTTGATGATGTGATAAAAGTGAAAATACATATCTTATAGTACTAAAAAGTTTATTTGGAAATACAGTATGTTCTCCACTCATATCCTTCTTCCTTAATTACTTTATCAAATTTTGTGTTTGTGTTACCAGTTATGATATATTTCTTGTTTAATATTTTTTCTTCTAATTTTATATGCTTTTAAACTATTATAAGTGTACTGATTTTATTATACTTTCTACCCAGTTAGTATTTTATATTTTCTATTTTTGATTCTCTTGAAACAAATGTGTCATATAGATGGAGACACTGAAGAAAAAAATAGGAAGATTAGGATTAGGGAAAGGTTAGGGAAAAAAAGTGTAGTTGGTATTTTCTTCCATAATCAATGAGTGAAATAAAATTTTCTCAAGCAATGACTGCATTGTTACCTCATCCTCCTCCCCAAACAAACATTTTAAGCTGAAATACAGTGTGTCTATACTGCACTTCAAGAAATACTTTAGCTGGATTAATATCTCAATGGAATCGGAATTCCATGGAACATAATTATATCATTTGACTAAAGTAAATTCATAGTCTTTTGTTGCACTGACTTGTCCTTAGTTTAGGGTTAGTTATAAATACTTTCAGAATATGTTATGAATGACTTTAAATAAATTGATAAAGTAAAGTCGCATAAAACATCGTGATGTGTTTTAATCTGTTTGTGCTGCTTTAACAGAATACCACAGACTAGGTAATTTATAAGGAGCAGAAATGTATAGGCTCTTAGTTCTGGAGGCTGGGAACTCCAAGATCAAGCGGCCAGCATTTGATTAGAGCCTTCTTGCTATGCCATAACATGGCAGAAGTCATCACATGGCAGAAAGGCAAACAGTAGGAGAGAGAGCAACAGGAGTCAAACTTACAACCATGATAATGATAACAGCATTAATCTATTCATGAGAGCCAGGACCTCATGACTAGCCATCTTTTAAAAGTCCCTTCTCCCAATACTATAAAAATGGCAATTAAATTTCAACAAGAGTTTTGGAGAAAACAAACATTCAAACCATAGCATGATTCAAACAAATAAACAGCAACAAACCGAGAACAAATATATAAATCCTGATTTTAAATTTAAAAATCAACAAAAGGCTAATGCATAAAAATAATCATTGTAATTCCAAATAAATACAGATTCAAATATAAAATAATAACATTAATAATAACATATTTTTAAAACTGAATTTAAAAATAATTAAGAAAAATAACACCTAATGCTGTAAGGGTTTTGTTATTCAGTCTCTGGAAAAAAGTCTAAAAACCTTCTGGAAAGCAATTTGGCTTCACAAATATAAAACCTCAAATAAATTTATATATTTTGACTTATCAATAAAATCTACCCCATTTCTAGGAAATGTATTATTAAAATATGATAAAACGTTTGGATAAAGATGTGAAGACACTAATGTCTGGCACAACACTATGGAATGTTTATTTTGGATAGATGCATAGCTACAATAAAATATTTTGTTCTAGTATGTAATAAAAATAAATTTGAAGTGGGAAATTTTCATACATATTGTATGTAAAAAAGAAAGAAAAAAAAAACTATATGTGTGATTGATCTGAATTGCTCATAATTTCAAATGTTATATATTGATATAACATTTCATTTTTATCATGAAGAAAGATGCACATAGATCCACTAAAATATTAACAGTCTCTAGATTTTCAGATTCTAGATATTTATAAATCATTTTGATATACTTATTACATATCTTATGAAGACTAGAGAGTAGAGTACACCAACTTTGTGACATCATGTCCCACCCAAACTAGAACTTTTTCAATACAAGTGTTGACCGAATTTATGCAAGTAGAATTCACATTCAGAACACTCAGACTCACATATTCAGAAATATCTATGGCAGCCATTGCCACCAGCTCTGAAATCTTAGTTTCAGAGCAGCATCCAGTTTTAGAGAGCTGAGCTGAAAGACATTTAGAAAACATCTATTGCATCACATTTGTTCTACAGATTTGAAAATATGGATCACTGGAGTTTAATCAATTTATTCTAAACACAAAATATTGTAACCAATGGTAGAATTACGATCATAAATAAAGCAGCATAATTTTTCTTGGCTGTTTCCAGCGTGTAACCTACCTTACTTTAATTTCAAAGAAGCCATGAAGACTATGACATGAGTGCTAGGCTCTGTTATATTTCTAAGCTATGTGTTCGTTCTTTTTGTTTTTTCTTAGGAGAATGGCACTGTATTTTGGGCACAGTTCATCAAGGAAAAACAGTTGTCTTAAGCAATGGATTTTAGTGACGGCTAGTTGATTGTTACCTGGCTACTATTTATAGTATGTTCTTGGTTTTATTATGTGATTTTATTTAAAAGTTACATAGAAAATAAGAATTTAAAGTAGAAGTCCCAGTTTTACTATGTCCATGATATACACTCAGAACATTGATATTCTCTTTAGAAATGAATATTTAATCTCCACATCCACTTTTGTCAGAAGTAAGTTATTTAATTGCCAAGCACTTTACAAATTACTTCTCTTCACGTATTAGTTCCCTACAATTCCCGAACTATAAACACAGGTATAATACTAACTTGCTTTCTGATATTGCAGATAAGAAATTAAGTAGATAATCTGTCTTAGATATTATCTATTAGCTAACATTTTCACTGATTATTGGGGATATATTAGATAACTTAACTTTGTTCCTGAAATTATTTGAGAGAACTTTACCTCAACAAAAATTGAAGATGGGAATGAGAATTTAATGTTCTTTAAGAAAATATTTTGTGCTCCTGCCAATTTGTGAGAGTTAAAATATAGGAAAGATCACGTTTCATACGAAAAATCACAATTCACTACTTCCTCTTGATATGGGATATATGGACAAAAATTACTCTTTAGGCATGTAGAGGTCTAGTGCAATGGTAATGAAATAAGTGGGATGATAGAGTGTGTCTGAGTCTATTGGTTTTAAACTACTCCTGGGTTACTGGTAACTACATATTTGTCACTAAGCCTATTTAATACAGTTCCTTACCTTGGGGATTGAACTATACAACACATGAGTGAGAAATACAGACTGAAATGACAACAAAGATGAAATGATGGAGATAAAAGTACTTTGGAAATGAGATGATAGAATTCACTAAGAATTATGGATCATTTCAAATTCATAAACATAAATATCTACTTTAAAACATTACAATTCATGGAAAGCACTTATGTCACTTAAAAGATTGGGCTTCAGAACGGTGTCGCCTCTTAGGTTAAGGTGGCAAGTGTAAAAAGTCACCATAGCATCACAGTACTTGAAGACATTTAAATGGAAGTATTAGTTGATACCATGAGACTTTTAATTTTGACATACTATTGTCTTTGATGATATTGGATATATTTCTTCCATAAATAAACAGGTTTTGTTTAAATGGAAAATATGCTGAGGCAAGTAGAACCCCTTTTTTATATTTCCTCAATGAGAAACTGTCTTAGCAGCCAAAGTAACAGCGTTCACTATTATTGCCTCAAGGGTTGGGCAGATTCCAATAGGCTGGGAACACAGGCACTATTTGGGGTTGTATACTCAAGTTTAGACAGAAGCAGTCTGGTCACATGAAACTTAATCTTTTAAAGTGTTATTTAAACACATTCTTTATAGTTTAAATTGTACCAAATTTATTCTAGGCACACACAACATTTATTCAATATTCAATTTACAAATAGAACTTATGTGATTTCTTAGTATAGTTTTTTGGTTTTATATTTTGAGTAAATTTTAAGACCTTCAAACAAGAGAAAAAGCCATCAGAAATAGATTACTCAGGGTAGGGAGGACATCAAAGAATAGAGGTTAATTTAACAATTTCTAGATTTCTTCTTACAGTTTTTTAATGTCAAGTATTAAAATAGCACGCATTTTTTCAACATATTCTAGCCTCAACTGATTTTAGAAAGTCAAACTCATGTCAACATGTCATTTTATAGACATAGAATGGGAAAGAAAATAATAGTACAGCCAGAGTGGCAGGTATTTCCTGCAAGAATATGAATAATTCCAACTTTTTCATGCAGTTTTCACTTCTATTTGAGAATCAGGGCTTATTCTGTTATTATTTTGTGTTTGCTATGTATTTTATATAGTGTTGTCAGTTAAGCAAGTTAAATAAATGCAACTGGTCAAACTGTGAAGACTCAGTAATAAGCATCAAAAATAATTTAGTTTCCAAGAAAAAGCAAACTCTTCTTTGTCAACTGAGAGACATGTCTATTGAGAAAGCGTTTCATTCAAACTTGAGAAAAAGTTTGGTAATTATGGCTACCATTTACTCTGAAAACTTATTGGAATTGGTATATTCATATAAAAATATTGCTAATTTTATTTTTCCCAAATTAATTTTTGCCTTTGAGATTCACTTGAAATTAAAGTAACTTGAAACTAAACTATGTTCTTTTTCCTTCTAATTTCACTGTCCCTATATATAACAATGGCTTTTCTTAAGACATTAGAGTAGCATTCCTTCGTAACTGATGACTTTTACATTAAACTTTCATGTAAAATTATATTCAAATTTGCTTTCAAGTCTCTTTTTAAAATAACTGTTTTTACTATTCAAAAAATAAATCATAGTGAAAGGTTAATAAAGTATATATACTCATATCAATCTTATTAGAAACACAATGGAAGTTATATCAAATATTTTACAAGTTTCTCAATTCACATTAACCTAGCTCTAGAAGTTTCTTCTGTTCTCAATTCAACTGGAAGATAATTGTCTTGACTAGGAAAAAATGCTAATAATGAGACTGTCAATATATAAACTATAAAAGTTAATGGAAATAAAAAATAATCTTAAATGCATAAAATACTAATGAATACAATGTTCACAATATTAGCATTAAAAGTGGTCTTATTTTCTTAAAAACAGGTTTGTGTTGTAAACAAAATACAAGGAAATCTTCTATTAAAAATATATGCTTGAGATTCATGGTAGCTTAAATTTATCCAGGGAAAATATTTTACAATATGTCTCAGTGGTAGTCAGAATAATCACCTCCAAAGATATTTATATCTTAATCCTCAGAACTTGTGAATGCGCATGAATGCACACAGCAAAGGAGAATTAAGGTTGCAGATGGAATTAATGTTCTAATCAGCTGACTTTAAAATACAGATATTATTCTGAATTATCTGGCAGGTCCCAATGTAATCACACGGGTCTTTAAAAGTGGAAGAGGAAAGCAGGGAAGAAGTTAGAGTGATGCAGTGTGAAAACTTGATCCTTTATTGCATGCAAAAAAAAAAAAAAAAAAAGATGAAGGAAGAGGGCCAGGAGCCAAGAAATGGGGACAGCTTCTAGAAGATGGAAGAGGCAAGAAAACAAATTGTTTCTTAGGGGCTTCAGAGGGAATGCAGCCTTGCCAGTATCATGACTAGCCCAGTGAGACCCATTTTAATCTTCTGAGGTACAGAACTATAAAATAAGGAATTTGTGTAGTTTTAAGCCATAAAATTGTGTAATTTGTAAAGGTAACCATATAAAATTAATATAGCTTCTATGAATACCTCTATCTTAATTATATAGTTACAGTTTTAATTTTTTTTATAATGCATATCCCTTGAAAAGTTGTAAGCAATATAGCATGTGCTTAAGAGGCAAAAAGGTAATGTGAAAATTTTTTAAAGTATAATTTATTATATATTTATGATAGTAATTTGCAATAATGTATTATATGTATTATAAATCAGTGTTAATGTACCAGTCTATATAAATATCTATATGATTAAACTATTCCTTATTCAATATCAACTTGCCCACTGTAAATCACACTAGTATGCTGTTGATTATTTTGCAAAGTTTCGTTCATGATGTTTTCAGGTGGATAATTCATGCTTACGTGTCATATCCTCCTGTACTCTATAAAAGAAATAAGAGCAGCCACAGCACATGTATCACTCTATGGAACATATTAATAAAGTTCTCAAGATCAATGCTGCTGAGTGCTTTTTTGCAGGAGCAGTTTAATGTTAGTATAAAATATTGCCCCATTAAAGCACAGAAGACAATAAAATAAAGCAAAATCAGCATAAATAAAATTTATTAATTATGTCTCAGTGATTGGACCTTTTCTTTTACGTTAAAGAAGGTTTACAATGACAGCAGCGTATACTAGAAATGATGGAGTCCCTATTTATCCCTGGTAATGCACCTTCTTAGATCACAGTTGGTTAGTTGTCATCACTTAATGTTTATAAAGAGCTCTAAAATTGAAATTACTCCCTAAGTGTCGAGTAGCCTCATCATTCCTGAACAATCCTAATGAAGAAAAGCATATGTGACCATTTTGCAAGCCTCTTCAGAGGAAAGTGAATATTTACCATTGAATAAAACAAAACAGGAAAACAAACAGATAAACATAAGAGCAAAAGAACAAAGTCAAAACAAGTTGCAGACCAATGTAGAAAGAAACAAAAGTCTGTGCTTCTTCCGTTCAGGTTCCTCGGGCCAGAGACAGCATGTAGGTCATGCTGTGGTTGATCACAAGGGCCACAGATGATATTCCCTAGTGTTTGCAAGAACTTCCTTTAAAGTACTATTAATAATATAGAGAAAAATGAGAAATAAGTTTAGCATGATCATTAGTATGCAGTGTATGTGAGTGATGCAACCATCATATACAAGCATTATAACTTTCGTGGGCCTATTTTCTTATGCTCTATCTCTCTGTGTATAAAACATAAAATATATAAATATGTTTATATTTTATGTAAATTTATATTTATGTTTAATTTATATATTTATATGTTATATAAAGTATTTTCATGTATAAATATATTTCCTATAAAATATTTATATATTATATTTTATATGAAATATATGTAATATTACCTAGGCTATGTTCACTATTTTACATTCATCGTTATTCATTGTTATACTCATTTTTTCTTTGGTTTCTAAGATACATTAAAATTTGAAAATATAATGGGCCTATAAAATTTTCATGACCCCTAAGTGCCGTACCTACTGTGTCTGACGAATAAGTTGTCTCTGGTCTTTATAACCATTTGCTATCTAAAAGTGTATACCTTCAGATGTCCCCAATTTTATATTTGTGATAAATTCATGTTGATAAGAATATGGGCATGCTGATTACCTAAAATTCAAAATATGAATAGGCCCAGTATAAATTGTTTATGTATATGCATTCAAGCACTAGTGTGTTTGTTAGAGCTTTCAAATCTGTTTCCCTCTTTTAATCCAAAGTGTTCCAAAACATATTTGAATATAATGTGTATTTTCTAAAAATATTCCATAATCTGCATGTATCACATCTTAACCCAACAAGTAAACACTGGAAATGACTACTAATCAGGGCAAGACATGCATGATAACATGTAGGTGTGGGTTATTACTAATACAAAAATTCTAGGAACTTTCCTATGTACTCTGTAGGATGCGAATGAGGGACTGTAAAAGTGGAGAATGACAATCTGTATGCTAATTCTGAAACATTTGCATTGAGAAGAATGGCCTGGGAAAATTGAGCTAAATCTATTCCCGCCTTAGCAAAATTCTTCATGAATGTGAAATGCTATAGGTTAGTTAGGTAAACTAGAAGCTTCTACAATCTTGTCTACATTCCAAGATAATGCAGTATGCTAAATATTTTTCTCTAGACTGAAAATATTTCTTTAAAATGATCTGTAATTTTAGCTTCCTACAAAGTCAGCCTTACTTTCTCTGAATTAGAATGATTATGTGAGGATCTGTTAAATTTATATGTTTAGTTTTGACAAAATAACACCTACCTGCTAAAGAAAATTGTAAAAAGCGATAAGAATAGTGAATATGTTAAATATCATTTGACCTAATGAATATTGGTTTTGTTGTGGCAAAAGAACAAAAAATGGAATGGGTATTTTAGACCACAGTAACAGCCACTCCTACAACAGATAAATTACTATTATTTGATTTTCAGCCTTTGATTGTCTTTTTTCCCAAAGAACTCAGAAAAATATGCTCATATATCACCTGTGTAAAATAGGAACAAATTATGTTCTTTCAACTGTGAATGCCAATCACACACAGACATTTGCAAATTTACATGAGATGAAAAGCAATTTCACGGCAATCAGCTAAACCACAATAAAAATTACGCATGCATCACAGCATTGGGAGAGAGAGAAAACTGTGACTTGCCAAAAGAAAATCAGCTTGTACATTACTCTGGCCAACCAGTGCCAATACCCTGAACAAGGAGCTATCTCTAGGCAAATGACACTGTAGATTGATATGCTAACTTACCCTTCAATACAGCATGTATGTATCTGGGGATGCAGAGCTACAAAGAAAGGTTCTGACCCTGTGAAAACAGGTGATCACCATGCTGCCTTGTGCCATTTACAACTGCTAACTAGAAATAATTTGGTCTATTTTCAGTGGTTAACTTAAGGGTAATGCATTGTATTCATTTGTACTTTTTTTTTTTTCAAATTTTAAAGACTTCCAAAATATCTATTGCTTTTGAAATCTACTCAGTGGCCATTCAGCTGTTTAAATTGAAATGGCCAATGTAAGGAAAGAAAAAGATTAAATATATTCAACTGGCCATGATAAATACAATCCAGGTCCTTTGGTGTTAGAAGCTCAGTATGATTAAACTGTTTTTAATGATTAGGCTTTTGATTTTTACACATAAAGAATTCTTAATCATGATTTTTTATCATAAAAAACAAAAACACTCAATTAGAAAAAATATGGATAGCATTTCCCAGGATAGGGCACGTTAACAACTATTTCTTTCCCTATAGCTTTTTCTACTCTGTGTGTGTGTGTGTGTGTGTGTGTGTGTGTGTGTATAATGTGTGGTATTCTCTTAAAATTTGCCTTTCTATACAAGTTCACATAAAAAATTTTATGCACCAAATTTTATATCTTTTTCAAGAAAAATTGTAACTTCAGCAAAACAAAGATTAAAAAATGTTAATAAAGGACTATAATTTTTTACAAAAAAGGCTAAGTTCATACTGTACTAAACATATCTTTATCAGAAGATGTAAACATACTGAATTTGATGCAAATGTGAATTTTAGAAACCCGAGCTCTTACTATTTTTAGAGTCCTTAATAAATATCTAACAGTCTACTATGGTTTGAATGTAGTTTGTCCCCACTAAAACTAATGTTGAAATTAATTGCCATTATATTGGTGTTAAGAGATAGGGCCTTTATGAGATGACTAGGTCATTAAAATCTCAAGAGAGACTGGGTTAGCTCTTGCAATAATGAATTTGTTCTCATAAGAGTGATTTTTGGCTTATTGATCCATAATATTTATATATATTTGGGGTACATAAAATATTTTCTCACATGCTTAGGAAGTGTAATGATCAAGTGAAGGTACTTAGGATGTCCATCACCTTATGTATCATTTCTGTGGGTTGGGAACATGTTAACTCCACTCTTCAAGCTATTTTAATATATAAAATGCATTGTTAACTATAGTCACCCCACTATGCTATTGAATATTAGATAAAAATCCTTTCATTTGCAACAACATGGATAGAACTGGAGGTCATTAAGTGAAGTTAGTGAGGTGCAGAAAGACAAACATTTACGTTCTCACTCATCTGTGGGAGCTAAGGAATTGATCTCATGGGGGTAGGAAGTAGAATAAATCCTTAACAGGTTAATTTCATTATTACAACAATTCAATGAGGTAGTTATATTTTTATTCTATTTTGCAGATGAGAAAGCTAAAGTAGATAAATTTTAAGTAAATGCTCAGGTTCACAGTGCTAGTAATTAACCTATTCAGCATCTGTACCTAGAAAGTCTACTGCCAGAGTCCACATTTATCACCAGTTTACTGTAATGCCTCTTCCTTTGTAACCCTGAAAATTACTTATGAGAAAACTTGGCTAGTTTTCACCCATATACCTATATAAGGGACAGACATCGATGCGCCTTTTCAAAAAGGTGAAGTGGGAGTACAGGGCCAGAGAAAGATAAATGGAATCATGGAGTATAAGTGATGATGCCATTTTTTTTTCTACTGGAAGTTTGAAGTAATCTTGGAAATAAGAACAAGTTCTGTATATAAGCTAGGTGAGAGCTTCCCCAAATTCCCATCCATTCATTTATTGTTCAACAAATATTTATTGAGTGCCTACATCAGGCACTGTTTCAGAAATTTAGAGCTTCGTAAGGAACAAAAATCTCTGCCTCTATCTAGTATATTTACTAGTTGGGAAGAGAGTTAAGTAAACAATATAATACAAAAGAGATAATAACAGTAAAGAAAACAATAACAATTGCCACCCTGAGGTAAAATTTGGGGGATGCTCAGAGCCTGAGTACAAAGGTGTCAACCAAACCACCCGAGGACCAATGGGATCAGTGTCTCAGGACACCAGTAAGTGGATCCAATTGAAATGCCTGCAATAATAACATCGTTTTAACTTCTTGGTAAACCAAGGTTTTCAATTAAAGGTTGGTTTGGGGAAAAAATTGCCTTTCCTTATGAATAATTCAAATGGATTTCCTTTGAATTTACCAAAATTCTTCATCTGATGAGATAGGATTTTTTCTCTTTTCGCCCATAAACTTTGCTTTATAGATTGCTTAGGGCTACTGCCTAAATAAAAATAAATTCCTGTTGCAGTATGGTTTTAATATGTTGAAATGTATTCTTTAAGTTGAAGATCTCTGTAGTTCATTTGTCAATGCAACTTTTCTGTTCAATAGGAGTTTTTAAAAAAGAAAACAATCAAACAAACAAGAAAGAAGTTTACTTCCTTTTGCTAGTGTATTCCATTACTACAGTTTGATATTTCAAGTGGCTCATGAATTAGAAAAACGGTCTATAAAATCAACTTATAACTATCTACCTGAAAGAAACAACAGAATATTCATAGTCACATTCTTTTTATGTTAAATTTAAGTTTTAAAAATTAAAATACTAATGTATTATTTATAATATGTATAAAATGTGATATAATAAATTCCAGCAACTAACTTATACTTTTTTGCCTAGCCATTCCACCCCTTGTGTTTTCCTCCATTTATGCTGGAAGCAGGCTTCATGTTCCTTTGCACAACAGCAAAGTTGTGTCAGGACCTCCAGCAGAAATCACGTTCATTTAAACAAGTTTCTCACTTTGTGTTAAGGCCTTTGTCCATTGAAGGGCCTGTATCCCAAGTGTGAGGAGGGAGAATTCCTTGAGAACAGCGAAGCAAGCAGAAGGGGTCCTCCCGACCCTAGAGAAAAGATCCAGACCCAGGGAATTGAGGAGAACAAGTGACCCGGGTCCAATCTCCTCAAAATAGTTTCGGTTGTTGTTACAGTTTAAAATACCAGGGAGAATCTCATGTTTGCCAGTTGTTTTTTTTTTTTTAGACCTGGATTACCAGTAGAACACTATATTAAACCTAGTTGGTTTATATTCTCAAAGAAGAGAATAGGAATATAGTCTATGGGTTTCTATTTTTTCCTACTCATTTAATTTTATTACAAAGGCTGTATGTTAGTTGATATGAGGGATAGTGAAACAATTTTTAAAACTTCTAATTGTAATCATTCACATTTCAATGTGATATTGTGTTAAGTATGACTTTATGTTAGCTATAAGTTTGACCTGGACCTTTTTGTCTTATATTAAGGATTTGTGCTCCTGCTCTAAAATAATTGGAATGGATTTTAAAATTTCTTGACTTTCATATACTTTTAGAAATTACTACATATCCTTTTGCTTATTTGACCTATTGGCATGATGTATTAGTAGAGTTGTTTTTACAATTCCATCATCAACTTGTAAGTTATTCTTCTGGATATAGCGTATCAATATATTTCATATAAGAATGATGCATGTCTATTCATAAAACATCAGCCTGGATTTTTCATTCTTAATGCTGTGGTTTTACTTTTGTAGTTGCTTGTGAATCTCTCTTGATAAGGTTAAATACTGTTTTAACTTAAAAACAATCAAGTTAACATACAATTTCATTGTCATATTGCATACTTCCTTTTCCCTTCTTTAAAAAGAACTCACAGTGATGTTATAGCCATGTCTGCTGAATGTGTTAAATGGAAAGTAGATTGAGAAATTTTGAGGTAGTTGAACATCAGAACATTATTCTTACTAGATGCATTGAACAGAGAGCTAAGTATATTGCTATCTTCTCTAGCACTTGGCTGAGAGCAACCAAGCAATTTTTCATTTTACTTGTGAGCACACCATGAACACACCACCTCCATGTATCACTAAACCATGCAAAAGCCTCTGTTATTCATGCCCAAGCTGGCATAGAGATAAATTTGAAAGAATATTAGTGAAAAATGCTGCTTCATACCAAACAGTATTCTGTCTCTGTGTTTAAAATGACTTTAAAAAAATAAATCATGCAACAGGAATGTCTCCAAACACAGACTTCTGGAATAAAAATTGCCAATCTCAGAGACCTAGCTCCAAGGAATATCAACCAGCCAGTCATCCACCTAGCATGAAATGGAAAGGACATTATTTCAACCTTCAGTGGATAATGAATGCCTTGACACAACCTGTTTTGAAAGATAATTGGATATGTAATTTGCTAAACATACTATCTACAAGGCAATAAAACAAGTTATCCCATTTATATTTTTTGCTATTTTTCTTTGTCAGTTTGCCATAATTTTGTTCACCCATAAAGCTATTATTTCCCAAACGAGTGCTACTAGATCTAGAGATGGTTTCTAAGCAAGTGAAATTATCTGAAATGTGACTAACTGAACTTCACTCTTTAATAGGATTCACTTAAGGAATACATTATACTTTTCATGTACTCAAGCTCAAATAACCTTTACCATTCCCATGGTTTTTTATATGTTCTTCCAGTTACCACATATTATTTATAGTATCATATTAAGAAAATATAAATTTTCTTACACATGCAATTGAATATGCCCCGTCCCCCTTTGGGATTGTTTGATTCACTTATTTACTCAACAAATCTTCATCAAACTCTTAATTTTCACTCATTCAATCACCTGCATAGGGCAATCATTCAATCAACATTCTTGAGCACTTATCTTGTACCAAGCATTATTAAGCCCTTGGGACTACAGCAGTGAAGAAAACATACAAATTCACTGCTTTTATGAGACTTAAATTCTGGTGTAGAGAGACAGAAAACACACACATAAATGTATTTGATGTGCTGAGAAGTACTATAAAGAAAACTAAAGCAGTAAGAGCACAGCGAATGAAGGACTTTTAGTGATGGTGGTATTATTGTCGTTTGAATAGACTCATTACAAATTATCTCTCTGTCAATGTTACATTGGAGGAAGCACCCAAAGGAAACAAGGGAGTAATAATTGCGAACGTTTTCCATTAAGAGGGAGTGGTAGGGAATTTATAGGTGTGCTGGAGGATAGCAGAGGCCAGCAGCCTCACCAAACTGGAGTCAACAAGAGTGGCTGCAATGGGGTGCCAGCAGTGAGTTAGTCAAAGAAAGATAACATCATCAGGCTCTGTAGAACACTTTTTGGAAGGACTTTGAATTTAATTCCATGTAAATTGCATTTTAAACAAGGCTTTTCCAAAGGTCATTCTGTAGCTTTGTGGAGAGTAACAACAGTAGATGCAGTTGTAGGCACTGTTAGAGGTACATGAGAGGCAGAATACAGGACGGTATTGAAGAAAATAGACTCTCCTTTCATGGAGTTTACTCTCTGATGTGGGGGCATATAATAACGACGCTAAAATAAATATGTAGAAAGGATATACAGGTTAGTGATAAATACCAGGATGGACATAAAACGGATTGGTGTGATTAGACAAAAGGTGGAAGCTATTACTTCTTTTTGCTTGATTAAGGATCTAATAAAGACTTATACTCAATCTGAGACCAGAGTAACTAAAAAGAGACAGCCATGGAAAGCCCATTAAAAAAGGGAGTTCTGGAAAGAGGAATAGCATGTGAAATATCACTTATGTGAGAGCAGAAAGGTGGTCAGTGGTTTTGAAGAGGAAGTTCAATATTATGCGAACTGGAGAGGTGGAGGCAAGATCATGTTGGGCCTTATCAGCCACATTGATGACATTAGATATATAGTCATATGTCACTTAACAAGGGGGTATGTTCTGAGAAGTGCATCCTTTAGTGATTTCATCACTGTGCAAACATTATAGAGTGTACTTCCACAAACTGAGATGGTAGAGTCTGTAGGTTACTGTACTGAAAACTATAGTTAAGTGTTTGTATATCTAAACATACCTAAACAGAAAACATACAGTAAAAATTCAGTATAGAAGATTAAAAACTGCTATACCTGTATAAAGGACTTAACATAAATGGAGCTTGCAAGACTGGAAGTTGCTCTGGGTAAGTCACTGAGTGAGTGGTGAGTAAATGTGAAGGCCCAGGACATTATTGGTTTTATAAACACTACATTTAGGCTACATTAATTTTTTTTCTTTCTTCTATAATAAATTCATCTTAGCTAACAGCAACATTTTTACTTTATAAACTTTTATATATGTTTTACAATTTTTGGACTCTTTTGTAATGTCAGCTTAAAACACAAGCACATTGTACAGCTCTCCAAAAATATTTAATTTATTTATATAGGCTTTTTTCTATTTGTAGTAATTATAACTTTTTAGTACGTTTTGTTGATAACTAAGACAGAAACACACACATTAGCTTAGACCTACACACAATAAGGATCATCAATATCACTGTCTTCTACCGCCACATCTTGTCCCACTGGAAGGTGTGCAGGGGCAGTAACATGTATGGAGTTATCATCTCCTTGATAGCAAGGCTGCCTTCTGGAATACCCTCGAAAGATCTGCCTGAGGTTGTTTTATGGTGAACTTTTTGTTATAAATAACTAGAAAGAATATACTCTAAAGTAACAATAAAATGTATAGTATACTAAATACATAAGCCAGTCTCACAGTAGTTTATTATCATTGGGAAGTATTGTGTACTTTGCAGAATGGTATGTGTTACAATTTTGTAAGATTGGCAGTGCAGCAGGGATTTTTTTTTACACCTGCATCACCACAAACACACGAATAATGCATTTTCCTAGGACATTAAGATTGATACAATTTCACTATGCAATACATGGGACCACCACTGTATATGTGGCATATCATTGACTACAGAAAGAAGTGAGAAGCCCCTGGAAACTTTAATGTTAAGAGAGCAACATAATCTGACTTATGTATTTCGATTGACTACTCTTTGAAAAATGTATTTTCATGGAAGTGAGTAGCAAGAATGACATTTTGGAAAGCTATTAATCCAAAAGGGGGATTTGGTTGTTCAGATTAGGTGGTAACCTTGAAGATGAAAATAAATGAACAAAATTGGGATATCTTTTGGCAGCAGAGACATTAGGACTATTTTATGGATTTGATTGGGGGGTGCTGAGGCAAGAGACATCAGAGATGTCTCCTAAGTATTTGGCTTGAGAGAATGTGTGAATAGGGAAACATGTTATGATGTAGAATGGCCTAGCGTAGCACATGAGCATGGTGTTAAGGAAGCATTATTTCTCCTTGGGGTATGGCAAATTAGAGATACAAATTAGACATCCAGTAGTCCCGTCAAGTAAACAATTAGGTTGCTTTTCTAATCTGATTTAGTTTAAAGGAGCATCTGAGATCTACCCCAATGAGATGCTTTCATGTTACTGCTGTTAAAACAATTTTATCAGAATCCTCAGTTTTTATAAATTATCCTTTTAGCATATAATATAAATATTTGTGTAACCATGGACTTGGATGATGCTTGTTTTACTTGAGTGGGCTTCCACTGCAAAGTCAAAACCTTTAGCCAAAACTTCAAAACAGGAGGTGAGTCAAATTGGCCATTCTCCAATGACCTGTCAGAAGTTTAAGAAATTCTTTGAGAAGAATGCAAAGTTTTCCTACTCAATTGTTATGACATATTTTTGAGGCTTCTAATATTTCATTCATATTTAACCGACAGCAGCGAAGTACTCAGTGTATTTAAAAATAAAACCCAAACTGACCGAGGTCTCAGACTTTAAAGCAGCGTATAATTTATTTAGAAACCAGACAGTGCCATGAAACCACTAGATGCTATAGAGTGTCTATCATAGCAAATATTATATAAGTGATATGTACATGAGATGAAAGATGTAGATAACATTATTCTGTTCAAGAAAGTTAAATTGACTTAAAAATACTGAATCATCTGAGTTCCATCTTGGAGAGATAGTAGGATTTTCTAAGAAAGGAGAAACAGGAGTGGTAAGCTGAATAGCAGAAACAAGAGCATAAGCAAAACAAGGAAATGAAAATAAATAGATATTTGCATTACACCTAGTCATCATTTGAAAGGCACCAAGGATGCATGGAGGAGAGTGACTGGAGATGAGGTTGAAACAGGAAACGTCCTAGATTGCGAAAACATGTTGGAGCATTCTACAGAGTTTACATTGAGGATAGTATAAATCATGGATGAGTATAAACAGATTATATTGGGGTTTTAGAGAGAATACTCTGTTATCTTATTTTGAATATGATGAAGTAAAGGACAAGATTTCAAGAAGTGAATGAAATGGCTCAAGACGATAACAGTGAGATTTAAAAAGACAGGAAAGAATTGTGAGAAAGATCAAAACTAGAGTTATTACAACTTCCTAAGTGAATGTTTTGAGTGAAGGAAAGTTAAGTGTCAAAGATAATTCTGAAGCTCTCAGCCTGTGTGACTGAGTGAATTGTGGTGTTCCTCAAATGAAGATGGAAATTCTATTTGATGAGGGAGTAGTGATAAGGCAAGAAAAGTTCTGTTTTGAAAATCCAGGTGGAGATGACTAGTAACTAGATAGAAATGCAATCTGTTGGGCAGGAGATCAATATTTAAGCCAGAGAATTAAGAGTCATTAGCATATTCAAGAAAGTGGTAATTGCTGGACTCCATGAAGTCCCTATGAATAGGTTAAATTGAGAAAAGATCTTTCAGCATAAAACTCTGAGGGGTGGGGGCTTTCCAAGGAGAGGCAGCAGAAGCCAGAGTAAATTAAAAGAAAGGGACTTGTCAGAGAGACAAAAGAGAAAAGAAGAGATGCTAAACTAAGAGGAAGGTGATTTTTAAAAAGAAAGCTAAGAATTGACACGAAGTACAGTTATTGTATATAAATGTGTATATACCATGACCCATATTTCTTCATTATTGAACACTTTTTACTTTCATTTGAGTATTGTCATCCCTCTGTTCTTTAAATTGCTCTAACATCTTTCATATTTCTCGAAATTCTAAATATTAAAAAATTGCTTAGCCACAAAATTTTCTCAAGCTTCCTGTTCATATCTGCATTTAAGAAAAAATTAAATAGTAATAAAATCAAATAAACTGAACAAATAGAAGAAAAATTAGGGAATAGAAACAGAAGAAAAACTGTAATTCATTTTGCCTGAAAATGAGAATAAAAATGTATTCTAAAGACTGTTTTTCATGTTTTATGTAAAAATGACAGTTTTTAAAGTTTTCTAGGGGCTGTCTCTTTTAAGATATTAGAACATAGTGATACTTTATTTTGAATAGATGTATTATGGATGATACATAAAAATTAGTTATAACTATCTATTGACGATATATTGTTTACTACAATAGAATAAGACCACACCTGAGCCTAAAGAAAGTTCTCAGTTTACTATAGGTAAAATCTTGCTATGAAAGGTGCACATAAAGATTAGAGGCTTTCTGTGGTGGAGGGGAAACACTGCTGGCTGCAGAAAAAAATATCTGACATAACATTTAAATTTAAAAGCACAAATTATTGACTTAGTATGTTAACATAAATGAATAAATGTCTTCTAAATGCTTTGTCTTTTACTAAATTCCAGCATTTTATTACTAAAAGGACACATATACAATAAGTAGTAAATATGCCTGATATATTTTAATAATGTAACTAATTTCCTTTATAAATTAGTTATAGTTTTAATACTCTTCTTTATGTGCTCTAAGTGGCTCCATTGGCTAGGTTAATCATTAGAGGATGACTAAATTGAAAAATCTTTCTACAAATAACGTGGTGAATAATGTCATCTTCCACCATCTTATGCTAATGTATAACTAATTATTATCCATTGCTGCCATTTCTGAATTTTACATAATTTGTTCATTTAGTGTGAGCTATCTAAAATATATATGGATTTCAAATATGTATTTTATGCCATGGATAAAGTTTATCTCTCTTATTCTGTTTTGTCCTATAACTATTTCAAAGCAATAACACCTATATGGTCCAGAACAGATGTCATTGCTTGTGGTCTGGAGGTCATGAACATTGCTAAGCCACACAAAAAAATGATTTTGTGTGTGTGTGTGTGTGGTTGTGCACAGTATCTCATGCCTGTAATTCCAGCACTTTGAGAAGCCGAGGCAGGTACATCATTTGAGGCCAGGAGTTTGAGGCCAGCCTGGGCAACATGGCGAGACCCCATTTCTACATAAATACAAAAATAAGCTGGGCGTGGTGACGCACACCTGTAGTCCCAGCTACTCAGGGGGCTGAGGCATGAGAATAGCTTAAACCCAGGAGGCAGAGGTTACAGTGAACCAAGATTGCACCAGTGCACTCCAGCCTGGGTGACAGAGCGAGACTCCATCTAAAAAAAAAAAATGTATTTTACAACCATGGCTTACATGCTGAGACATATATAATCTCTGATGAATAATGTATCATGCTAATTTTATTTAAAATATTAAAACTCATATTACACCACTATCAAAGTAATAAAAAATAAAGGAAATCGGGTATTCTGTATATTGACACAATATATTTTGCTATTTATTCTGATGGCTGATATTTAATAATAGAATGGGTACAAAATAACTTGGAAAATTATACATAATATTACATATATATAAATTCAGAAATGTCTTGTCTAGCTGTTTGTGAAAGCTGTGAAGCATATCTTCCATTTCCCTGAGTAGTCTGTTGGTGGCCTGGACAAGTTCACCCTCATCACAGCTTGACCCCTAGCGGCTAGAGGACAAACCCTTTGGCCTGGTTCCAGTTCCCCAGAACTCTAGCACACAGTTTGGGATGTATGAAGATGACATCTGCGGCCTGATCTCCAGCAGGGGAGGAGTCCACACTGTCAAAACATAGAGAAAGGTATGGTGATGAGGAAGCTGGGTACCCCTCCCTTCTTTAGACCTGACTGAAAAGCTTATTGCCTGACAGCTGTGGTTTCTGCTGCAGGAAATCTCACCATCGAGATGCCTAGAATAGCTTTGTGATCTGGGCACAAATGGTTTTGGGTCAGACTAACTTGTAGGGCCAGTTGCCAGAGTGGATGCCAGAGGGAGACTCACCAATAAGAGGGTGTATGAGTTGGCTCTTCCTCTGAGCCAGCTCTGTGGTGCAGGAGAGGCACCTCCAACCCTTTCTGGAGGGTCGTCCATGAGGCCTGAGAGCTTCCACTAGACACCTGCTAAGGTTGGTACTTGCACCTGCCTCAGAGAGCCTGGCTGCCAGCTCACCAGACCCAGTGCCGCACAGCTTTGCCCTCTCAAGCCACCTTAGTGGCAGAGCACAGGATGGAAACCCTGAGAGTCCAGGCACTGCCCATCACCAGAAATATCCCAGTACTACTCCTGATCAACAAAGGCTATGTAAAAATTCCACTGCCACCACCACAATTACCTCTTGCCTGGAAGTATCATCTACTGGCTAGGAGGTCAAACTGCATGGCCCATCACAACTGCTGAAACCAGTTTATACCATTTAACTGGCTTTTAGCCAAAATTGTCACCTACTTGCTGGTAGGGTGAGCTGCACAACCCAACATAATTCTTGCTTACAGCAGTGTGCAGTGCTAGGGAACTAGATATGCAACCCAAGCCCTGTACCTCACCATCTCTGTAGGAGACAGTGAGCCTGACCACATACACAGCATATTGCTACCACAACCCACAAAAAAACTAGCACTTAAGAAAACCTACACTACTATACTACACTCAGGCTATCTATAACCAAGGAATTTATACAGAGCCTTGGCCCCATAAACGCAAAGCAAAGGACTCTACCTGACATGTGCAACAGTCACACTCTCAAGGAGGAAGAAAAAAGTCATGTAAATGAAAGTTAATTTAAAAATAATAAATGACAGCATCTACATATGAAAAGAAACCAGTCCAAGAACTCCAGTACAACAAAATAACGGATATTATGACACATGTTATGGACCATCCTGGCTTCCTAGCAATGGATCATAACCAAAATCAAAACATTGAAATGACCAAATTCAAACAAAGAATTTAAGATATGCATTGTAAGTAATCTCAGTGAGATTCAAGAGAAGGTTAAAAACCAACTCAAAGAAAGTGGAATAACAATTCATGAGATAAAAGACAAAATAGATATATTTTTTAAATAACTGGAAATAAAAAAAAACTGAAGAAAATTTAAAACACAGCTGAAAGCTTTAACAGTAGAGTAGAAAAAAGCAGAAGAATTTCAGAGCTTGAATACCAGTCTTTCAAATCAATATGGTCAGAAAAAAACAGTAACAAAAAGGATTTCAGAAAGCAAACAAAGGCTTTGAAAAATATGGGTTATGTAAAGCGACCAAATCTACGGCTTATAGGCATTAATGAGAGAGAACTAGTAAAACTATGAAAAACATAATTGAGAAAATAATTGAGGAAAATTTCCCCAATCTTGCTAGAGATGTAGACATTCAAATACAATAAATTTAGAGAATACCTGGAATATATTATACAGAATGTACATTACCAAGGCATACAGTCATAAGATTATACAAAGTCAACATGAAAGAACTAATCTTAAAGGAAGCTAGAGAGAAGTATCAAATCATCTGAATGAAGAAAATGCCATCAGACTACAGCAGACTTCCTAGAGGAAGCCAGAGATTGAGGCCCTATTTTTAGCCTCCTTAAAAAAAAAAAAAGCCAAGAATTTTATATCCTGCCAAATTAAGCATCATAAACGAAGAAAAAATAAAGTCTTTCCCAGTGAGGAAACACTAAGGGAATTTCTTCCAGATTGGACCTATAAGAAATGCTCAAAAGAGTTCTAAACATGGAAATAAAAGGACAATACTCTCCATCATAAAAGCATATATAAGAAAGCTCACACATTACACAAAGCAATTACACAATTGAGACTCCAAGGTTACTAGCTAACAAAACTATAACAGGAATAAAATGAAACCTCACATATCAATATTAACATTCCAGTTAAATACCCTTGAACTTAAATATTAATAATTCTACTTAAATATTAACCATGTACATAAATAGCCTAAACATTCTACATTCCAGAATAATATATTCTGGAAGAACATATTTATATATTCTGGAAGAACGTATTTATATATTCTGGAAGAACGTATTTATATATTCTGGAAGAACGTATTTATATATTCTGGAAGAATGTATTTATATATTCTTTATATATTCTAGAAGAATATATTTATATATTCTAGAAGAATATATTTATATATTCTAGAAGAATATATTTATATATTCTAGAAGAATATATTTATATATTCTAGAAGAATATATTTATATATTCTAGAAGAATATATTTATATATTCTAGAAGAATATATTTATATATTCTTTATATATTCTAGAAGAATATATATATATATCTATCTCCAACTGTCGGCTGCCTATGAGAGAACCTATAGGGGGTCTAATGGCTAGACACATATATACTCAAAGTAAAGGGGTAGTAAAAGATATAGCACACAAATGGAAAACAAAAGTCTGAATGACTAGCCATTCTTATATTAAACAGACTTCAAAGAAACAACAGTTAAAAACATTAACAAAGAATGGCATTATATAATGATAAAGGTTTCAATACAACAAGAATATTTAACTATTCTAAATATATACATGCATCCAATACCAGAGCACCCAGGTTTATAAAACAATTTCTACTTAACCTAAGAAAAGAGATTAATAGCAATACAATATTAATTGGGAACTTCAACACCTCACTGACAACACTAAACAGCTAATCGAAGTACAAAGTAAACAAACCCTGACTTAAACTATACTCTAAACTATGTGGTCCTAATAGACATTTACAGAACATTCCACTGAACAACCAGAGGGAATACATTTTTCTCATCTACACATGGAACATTTGACCATATGCTTGGTCATAAAGCATCTCTATAAATTCAAAAAATCAAAATCACATGAAGTATTTTCTCAGATTAGAGCAGAATAAAAGTAAAAATCATTACCAAGAAGAACTCTCAAAACCACATAAGTACATATAAACAAAACAATTTGCTCCTGAATGACTTTCAGGTAAACAATAAAATTAAGGAAGAAATCCAAAAGTTTTGAAACAAAGAAAAATGGAAACACAACATACCAAAACCTCTGTGATATAGCAAAAGCTGTGATAACACTAAAGCTAATTGTGTTAAGTCCCTACATCAAAAAGAGAAGAATCTCAATTTAAAATCCTAATGTCACATCTCAAGGAACTAGAAAAGCAAGAGGAAACAAAGTCAAAGCTCGCAGAAGAAAAGAAATAACAGATATCAGAAGAGAATTAAATGATTCTGAGACTTAAAAATGATACAAAAGATCAACAAAATGAAAAGTTGTTTATTGGAAAGGATAAACAAAATCAATAGACTGCTAGATAGTTTAACCAAAAAAAGACAGAAGACTCAGATAAGCACAATCATAAATGATAAAGGTGACATCACATCTGATACATGCCACAGAAATAGAAAAGATCACCAAAGATTAGTGTGAACATCAGCTGTATGTGCACAAACTAGAAAACTTAAAGGATGTAAATAATTCCTGGAAACATACAACCTCCGAAAATTGAACCAAGCAGAAATGTAAATCCTGAACAGACCAATAATGAGTAATAAAATTGAATCAATTAAAAAAAAAATTATAAAAATAAGCCCAGGACCAACAGATTCAGAGCTGATTTTTACCAGATGCACAAACAAGAGCTGCTACCAATCTTACTGCAACTATTCCAAAAATTTGGGAAGGGATTCCTCCCTAACTCATTCTCTGAAACAAGTATCACTGTAATACTAAAATCATGCAATGACAACACCAAAAATAACTACAGACCATTATCTCTGACGAACATGGATGTAAAAATCCTCAACAAAATGCAAGTAAACTGAATCTGACATCAAAAAGATGATTCATCATAGTCAAGTGGGTTTTATTCCAGGGATATAAGGGCAATTCAACATTTGCAAATCAATGAATGTGATCCACCACATACACCAAATTAAAAACGAAAACCATTTGATTGTCTTAATAGATTCAGAAAAAGTATTTGATAAAATCCAACATTTCTTCAAGATGAAAACCCTCAACAAACTAGCAATTGAAGGAAAATACATCAAAATAATAAGAGCCATATGTGACAAACCCACAGGTAACAATCTGCTCAATGGGGAAAAGTTGAAAGCATTCCCCCTAAGAACTGGACCAAGAAAAGGATGTTCCCTCTCAAAAATACTATTCAACATAGTAGTTGAATTCGTAGCTAGAGCAATCAGGCAAGGAAAATAAATAAAAGGCATCCAAATTAGAGAACAGGAAGTCAAATTATCTCTATTCACTGATGGCATGGTTTTATAACTAGAACCCCCTAATAACTCCAAAGTAGTACTAGAGTTGATACATAAAGGCAGTAAAGTTTCAAGATTCAAAATCAATGTACAAAAGTCAGTAGCATTTCCATACACTAATGACATTCGAGCTGAGAACCATATAAAAAACTCAATCCTGTTTAAAATAGCCACATGCACAAACAAAAAATACCTAGGAATACACTTAAAGAATTAAGTGGAAGATCTCTACAAGAAGAACTAAAAGACACTGATGAAAAAAAAAAATTGTAGATGACACAACAAATTAAAAGACATCTCATGTTCATGGATTGGAAGAATTGATATTGTTAAAAGTACCATAGTGCCCAAAGCAGTCTACAGATTGAATGCAATTCCTATCAAGTAGCAATGTCATTCTTCACAGGATTAGAGAAAGCAATTGTAAAATTCATATGAAACCACACAAGAGCCTAAATAGCAAAAACAATCCTAAACTAAAAGAACAAAGCCGGAGACATCACATTACCTGACGATAACACATACTACAAGGGTATACGAACCAAAAGATCAAGTACTGATATAAAAATAAACACATAGATCAGTAGAAAAGTGTAGACAACCTAAAAGTAAAGCCACATACCTACAGCAAACTGATCTTTGACAAAGTCAACAAAAATAAACAATAGGGAAAGGACTCCCCATTTAAAAAATGGTGATGGAAAAATTGGCTAGTCTACGTATAACAATGAAACTGGACTATCACTAACAGTATATACAAATTAACTCAAGATGTATTAAAGATCTGAATGTAAGGCCTGAAACTATAGAAGTCCTAGAAGAAAACCTAGGAAAACCACATTGGCCTAAGCAAAGACTTTATGACTACTACCCTAAAAGCAAATGCAACATAAACAAAAATAGATAACTGGGAATTAAACTGAAAAGCTTCTACCTAACAAAAGAAATAATTAATAAAGTATATAGACCACCTGCAGAATGGGAGAAAGTATTTGCAAATTATGTCAAACCAACAATCCCATTAAAAAGTGGACAAAGGAAATGAAAAGACATGTCTCAAAAGAAGACATACAAGTACCTATCAAACATATGAAAAATGCTCAACATCACGAATCATCAGAGAAATGCAAATTAAACCAAATTGAGAAATCTTATACCAGTCAGAATGGGTATTATTAAAATGTGCATAAACAACAGATTTTGACAAGGATGTGGAGAGAAGAAGGGAACACTTATAAACAGTTGAGGGAAAGTAAATTAATATAACTTCTATGGAAAATAGTGTGGGGATGTATCAAAGAACTAAAACTACAACTACCATTTGATCCAGCAATATTACTTCAGGTCATCTACACAAAGGAAAAGAAATCATTATCTCAAAAAGATACCTGCACTTGTCTGTTTATTGCAGAGCTGTTCACCAGAGCAAAGTCACGGAATCAAGCTATGTGTCCATCAATGGTTGATTGGATAAAGAAAATGTTATATATCTAAACCATGAATACTATTCAGCCATAAAAGGAATGAAGTCATTTCCTTTGCTGCAACATGGATAGAGCTGGAGGCCATTATCCTAAATGAATAACTTACAAACAGAAAAATCAGTACCACACCTTCTCACTTATGAGTGGGAGCTAAACAATGGGAACATAAAGATGGAAATAATAGACACCAGTGATGCCCAAAGTGGATATGGTTGGAGGGGATTGATGCTTAAAAAATTACCTACTGGGTAATGTCCAATATTGGATGATGAATATACTAAAAGCCCAAACCTCACCCTTATGCAATACATTCAAGTCACAAACCTACTCACGTGCATCCTGAATAAAATAATATTGTAAGATATATTACTCATAATTCCTCAAAAATAGGACTTAAACATAAAACATAAGCCCAACAGGTTGAAAATACTTGCAAATACAATAATAATCTACAACTAATTTGATGTTATTCCAGTGCCTTACTGAATGGCATCAGGGCTTCTGAAAGTAAGCCCTATTTTTGTTTCCTGAAGCACTTTAAGGTAAGATTGTCTTTTAATATGCAAAATAATAAAAATAATTTTGATAGTTTTCACAAAATGGTTGTGAGGAATAAATCAGGTAGTAAAATGTAATAGCAGCAAAGCCCAGTGTGTGGGGAAGTTTTTTTTTTTAATTTTTACTTCCTATGTATATTTATTACTGGACTCTCAGTAAACTGAACTAATCATAGTACTTGAAAAAACTCCAAGCTTTCTGCTATATTAAAAGAAAAAATATGTGAGAATGAAACAATTATTTGCTCCACAAATCAGGATTTATTAATACCATTTTTATCCCCCACTTAATGATCCCCCACTTAATATAGAGTAATATAAACACAACAAGGAATGTTTATTTTCATATCCTTGAGCCCTCAGCTTGATTTTCTGGCCCAATTTAATGTTTTATGCATTTGTTAATCTGAAAATATTATTTAATATGTATTATGTGTCAGGCACTGTTATAGGCACTGGAAAGAGTTTCTAAGATGATGGAACATACATGTTTGTGGGGATGACATAGAACCCAAAACATATAACATATACTTTCAGGTGGAGGAAGTGCAATGCGTTACAAGAAAGCCTGCTAAGCTTTCTGAGGGTTACTGGAGGGAGCATTGTACATACTATGGTCAGGGATCACCAATCTAAGGAGCTAACAATTTCAGAGACCTAAGTAATGTTGAAGGAAGTAGCCATGTGGAGATATGGGAGAAGTGCATTACAGACAAAGGGAACAACACATATAAAAGCCCCAGGTGGGAAATAGGTTGACTTTAAGAGAGTAAGAAAGTCTGTATTGCATCCAGCACAATGAACAGAGAGGAACAGTTAGGAGAAGAGAAATAAGAGCAGTGGGAAGTAATGAAAACATGTAGAGCATTTTAACTTTGTACAGAGACTGTAGTTGAGAGTTGACAAAATATTAAATTAATAGTGAAATGGATCAAATTAATGACAGCTGAGAAGAAAAGGAAAACAGTGATATATGTTACCAAACATGAAATGTCCAAAACATGAAGACATAAACACAGGCATAGGATTGAATTCTAAAATTTTAAAGTGCTTTAGAATTGACAAATTACATGCGAATGCGTAATATGCTAAGTCTCATGAGTTTCACAGGCATAATGTTTCAGTCTTGACTCTTGTGAAACAGTGTTTGTTGGAGTTGATTACATGGGAACTTTCCCATTGGAATCCTATTTGTCTCTTTTTCCTTAGGGGGTTTAAATAATGACAGAATAGAGGAAAGTCTGAATCATGGCAGAATTATCTTCCCACTTACATATGAAGGCATAATATCTGGTAAAATTGATTTTGGCCAATGATGACGTTTAATAATTTCATTTAAGATAAAAAGGATAATTTTCAAACAATTAAAACAAAGACTGCAGTTACTATGCTCACTGGAAAATAGCCTCATATTATTAAATCAATTGGCATGATCTCAGTTGTGGAAAGCTTGGAAGGGGACAGCAGCGTTGTAAGTACATGGCAAAGAAAATAAATAATAGTGTATTATAGAGGAAAACCACATGAAAGGAATCATGAATAAAAAGATAATGGGGGTAAATTTAAATGTAACTGACAATTGCAAAAATAGAAAATCACTTGTAGCATGAAGAACGTAGATAATTTTATAATATATTTAATGAGATTTTAAATTTCTCAGTGTTAAGTTTTAGACAAAGTTTTAAAATAAATATTTTATAATTCTTGATTATAATGGCCTCTTGACTAGCAAGTCCCTGCATGCAGCCTTTCCTGATGTTTTAATTTACCTATAAAGTCGTACAAACACACACACACACACACACACACACGAAGCAAACGAACATGGTTACTGAAAAGTGAGAGATAAATATACTAGTCAGTGTCTAACTGGAAAAACACAAACTATTCCTAGGTAATTTTAAGAGGAAATGTAAAATGGGGAAGTGTTTACACGAGTATTAGCGATATTAAATCCTGAATTAACCAAATATAAAAACTTCAAGAAAACCTATTACTCTTACAGATGGGAGAATAGGAGAAGTATTGGAGTTACAGGAACCTTGAAGTTCAGAGAAGTACCACAAATTGAATATTCATATCTCCTAGGAAAGGGCTTGTGTTGGTGCTGCTGATACCTTTAAGCATCTCTATTATTTTCATATTCTAACAGGAAGTCACTTGGTAAAAGAATCTGAAAAATGTAGTTTGTAGAATCCCAACCAAAACTGCTATCACAGAGAAAAATATAGAAGACTAGCTTTCTATCTGAGACATAACATGCAAACCATCTATTGGCATACTGTTAGAAAAAATTTTGATGGAACAGGACTGTTAAGAGACTGTAGGTCTTACTTTATAAATAAAAACAAGACAAAAGCTTTATATATATATTCTCTGACTCTTCTCTAACTCTGAGGTATAAGATATAGTCATCCAAAGTACTGACTTTCTAACTCTGATTTTCAACCAAATATTCTTGCATCTATCCATACCCATTTAGAGAGAGAAATTTCCAGAAATCAGAGGAGCAGACAGGTAGAGTATGACTTGTCCTTGTGAATTGTGTTCTGGTAAACAGAGTAGAGAGAAAGGAATATCTGTAGGAGGGGCAGAAAAAAAAGCCCCTATAGCTATCCAAACTTAGGATTATTATTTTTGTGTGTGTACTCCAAGGTACACACACCAAAACTAGAATGAGAGGACTATTAATTCACTCTGTCTTCCATATGAGAATAGGCTCGAATATCACTCAGAGGAAACCCAAAGTAGGTTAAAATTTCATCCATATATGAAGTCTTTTGGGTGAGGTAAAGGCATAATAGATCTTAGCATCTAAATTATGGACAAATAAGTACAAAATTGAACACCACTGTGATTATGGAAAACACCATTGTGTTTACTGTGAAGCAAGGAAAACAAAACATAGACATAGAGATTCAGAAAATTATTTATGCCAGAAAAAAAAAATTTAAAAGTCACCAAATAGTGTGAAACAAATACATAAGAAAGGCTGGAAATAAAGTTTTGTAATAATGCCATTAAAATGGATGGAGATGGGAATTTTATCAAGTATGTGGACAATTTGAGTACTATACAAGAATACAAACAAAATGATGAGAGATAAACTGACAATTGGAAAAGAAAGAATATGGTGGTCTAACATAAGAATGAAAGGTATTTTCCAGGAAGAAATTAAGAATTGAAACAGAGGAAGTAATCAGATAAAATTTTTTCTTTAAGAAGAAAATAGAAGATATCTGGGATCTATACAGCTGAATCTAATATTTTAATTACAGCTAAAGAAAGCTTGATACTTTTTGGCCCACTGTTTTCTTAATATATTCAATGAACTTTCTCATATGTTAGCCACTAGTTATGTGTTACTATTTAAACATAAATTTTAATTGATCTAAATTAAATACAATTTAAAAATAAATTTGTCAGTCTGAGTAGTCACATTTCAAGGGCTTAATAGCCAGAGTTGCCAGTGGCTACTGAATTATATAATACAGATATAGAACACATTGATTACTACAGAAAGACCTACTAGACAGTGCTGTTCTAAGAAATTATTTTTAGAAAATAAGGAGAGATGCTCTTGAAAATTTATGTATAAGAAGAGTTATCTTAAGAGGACATGTTAAAAAATTCATTAATATTGTACTACTCAAATAAGTTATATTCATAAAAATTATAAAGCATTTAAACCTATAATTTAGAAAATAAATTTATCACACTAGACAACATTCTTATGATAATATGTAAAAATATATTAATAATTAATTGAGATGCTTTCAATTTTGGACAAGTAAATGGGGCTTATATTTTATGTAATTTTAATATATAAAATCGATCGATGTTCGTTACATTTAAGTGGCAGGATTATTCAACTGTTTTTCTTTATTTTTTTTTCCTTTGATGTAGAGGAATTATTTATAGTGAGGCATGTTATTTTATAGTCAGAAACACTTCTTTTAAACAAAATTAGCATATATTTGCATGTGATGCTGATAAACTGAACAAAATATGTGACATTACTTAAAATAGAATTTTGAGATGGAGAGGGTGCTGCTCATGGAAAAGTGGTTCTGACAGAATCGATGAACTGTCATCCGTGTGCGCACCTGCGGCAACTCTGCTGGAGGCTTTTAGCTGAATCCCAGCGGTGACCTTCAAAGTTGTTTTTAGGTATTTGCATTAAAATTTTGAGAAAAACGTTCCTTTGTTTTTACAATACAGACATGCCTTGTTTTATTATTCTTTGCTTAATTGTGCCTTGCAGATGCTGAGTTTTTGAACAAATGGAATGTTTGTGGAAACCCTGCACTGAGCATGTATTGGCTTTTCCAACAGCATATGCTCACTTCATGTCTCTGTGTGACGGCTGGGCAATTCTCACAATATTTCAAACTTTTCATTATTATTTTATCTGTTATGATGCTCTGTGTTCAGCGATCTCTTATGTTACTAATGGAATTGTCTCAAATTGCCACAAACTACAACCACATAAGTCAGATAACTTAATTGCTAAATGTTGTGTATGTCATTACTGTTCCACCAACCACCCATTCATCTGTTTCTCTGCCTCTCCTCAGGCCTATTCTATGAGACACAACAATAGTAAAATTAGGTTAAGTAATAATCCTACATGGCCTTTAAGTGTTCAAGTGAAAGGAAGAGTAGTGCACCTCTCAGGTTAAATCAAAAGCTAGAAATAATTAAGCATGGTGAGGAAGGGATACTGAAAGCTGGCCGGGCGTGGTGGCTCACGCCTGTAACCCCAGCACTTTGGGAGGCCGAGGCAGGCAGATGACGAGGTCAGGAGACAGAGACCATCCTGGCTAACATGGTGAAATCCCGTCCGTACTAAAATATAAAAAATTAGCTGGGCATGGTGGCGGGTGCCTGTAGTCCCAGCTACTCGGGAGTCTGAGGCAGGAGAATGGTGTGGACCCGGGAGGTGGAGCTTGCAGTGAGCCGAGATTGCGCCACTGCACTCCAGCCTGGGCGACAGAGCAAGACTCCGTCTCAAAAAAAAAAAAAAAAAAAAAAAAAAAAAAGCAAGCAAGCTGATATAGGCTGAAAAAGTTAGGCCTCTTGTACCAAGCAGCCAAGTTGTGAATTTAAAGAAAAATTTGGTGAAAGAAATTAAAAGTGTTACTTCAGTGATACAAGGAATGATAAGATAGTGAAACACCCTTATTACTGATATGGAGAAAGTTTTTAACAGTCTGTATAAAATATTAAAACAGTCACAACATTCCCTTATTAAAAAGCCTAACCCAGGGCAAGGCCCTAAGTGTCTTCAATTCAGGGAAGGCGGGAGAGAGGTGAGGAAGCTACAGAAGAAAAGTTCGAAGGTAGCAGAAGTTGGATCTTAAGGTTTAAGGAAAGAACCCATCCCCATTAATAGAAAAGTGCAAGGTGAAGTTGCAAGTGCTGAGTAGAAGTTGTGACAAGCTATCCAGGAAAACTACCTGAGATCACTGCTGAGGGTAACTACACTAAACAACAAATGTTCAACGTAGACAAAAAAGCCTTATATTGGAAAAAGACATCATCTAAGATTTTCACAGCTATGGAGGAGACATCATAGACTAAATTCAAAGCTTCAAATCACAGGCTGACTCTTGTTAGAGGCCAATGCAGCTGATGACTAAATTGAAGCCAATTTGAAGCCAATTCAGAATACCGTTCTGAAAACCCTGGGGGCCTTGAAGAAATATGTTATTTCTACTCTGCTTGTGCACTATAAATGGAACAAGTCCTGGATGATGGCACGTCTGGTTACAGGATGGTTTACTCAATATTTTAAGCCCACTGTTGAGAACTGCTGGTGAGAAAAAAAGACTCCTTTCAAAATATTACTGTTAATATACAAAGTACCTGCTTACCCAAGAGATCTGATGAAGAGGTGAAAGGAGATTAATATTGTTTTCATCCCTGCTAACATAACATTCATTCTGCAGTCCATAGAAAAAGGAGTAATTATAACTTTCAATATTATTAAGAAATACATTTTATAAGGCTATAGATACCATAGATAGTGATTCCACTTATGGATCTTGGCATATTGAAACATTCTGGAAAGGATTCACCATTCTAGATGCCATTAAGAATGTGTGGTTCATGGGAGGAGGTCAAATTATCAATATTAACAGGAGTTTAAAAGAGGTTAATTTCAATCATTATGAATCATTTTAAGGTGTTCAGGCTTCGGTGGAAGAAGGAAATACAAATACGGTAGAAATAACAAGAGAACTAGAATTAGAAGAAGGGCCTAAAGATGCGATTGAACTGCTGCAATCTCATGATAAAACTTGTATAGATAAGGAGTTCTTTATGAAGGAGCAAATAAAATGGTTTCTTAAGATGGAATGTACTTCTTGTGAAGGTGCTGTGAACATTGTTGAAATAACAACAAATTATTTAAAATCTTACAAAAACTTAGTTCATGAAACCATGGCAGGCTTAAAGGGAATTGCCTTAAATTTTGAAAGAAGCTCCACTGTGGGTAAAACGCTGTCAAACAGCAACACATGCCACAGAGAAATCTTGTGTAAAAGGAACTGTGCACCGATGTGGTAAATTTCATTGTTGTGTTATGTTAAGATTTGGCACAGTCTCTTTAGCATTCAGCAACCACCATCCTGATAGCCAGCAGCCATCAACATTGAGACAAGACCCTCCACAAGCTAAAAGACTATGACTTGCTGAAGGTTCAGATGATTGTTAGCATATTTTAACAATGAAGAATTTTTCAGTTAAGCTATACATACTGTTTTTGTAGATATAATATTACTGTGGACTTAACAGAATATAGTATACTTTAAACATAACTTTATATGCACTAGAGAACAAAAATATTTTATTGCAGTGGTCTAGAACCAAACCTGTAATTTCAATGTAAGTCTTCACAGTGTTCTTTTGTCAGCATGGTACACAAAGATGTACTTACATATAAAGTGTTCTAATTTTTCATATAAATTGTAAATAAATGTGGCAAATGTTCACAGTTCTTAAATTAAGGACAAAAGCAAATATTATATAATTAAGTTCATCTTTTGTTCATGTTTATATATTTATATTTTATATATGCATAGTAATTTCTTTTTGAGGTTTGTCTTAAATGAGTAAAAAGTGTTTACATGAGTGAAGTGTGGGTTCTGTACACGTCTATATGACTAATGTTCAAATTGTATGAATACCCATACATATATAAGTTATTTATAGTGTGAATATATGCATTGTATCATGAAATATGAATAAGTTTATAATCCATGCTATAAAATGATACAAATTGTATTACTACTTTATAGCATTAATGTACACAAATATATTTAATTTACCAAAAATATAAGGTAAAAGTAAATAATATTTTTGTGAATTTTGAAACATTGTGGTGTGAGAAGCACTAGTTTGCTATTGTGGTTAAGGCACATTTTTATATTAGAATATATTGAGTTTAAAAATAGTACAGAATGTTTAACATATTAGCAGTAATTTCTAGGAAAAACCTTTATGAAGTTTAGTATAAATAGAATATAAAAAATAATTTTAAAATGATGTGATCAGTCATCAAAAGCATCTGATATATAAACAATAAAAACACAATCTTAAACTGTTATAATTTACTTGGCTTGCAAATATTTTATAATATAATATGTATACATATATTATACATCAAAATTTATTTTTGATGATATGCTTTTAGTAACTTATTCCTATGACAAATTTGGCAAGTAAAAATCAAAATTATTATCTAATTCCATTAACATGCAAAACATATCACAAAATTAGTGAAAACCTAATTTGAATAAGCCCACATTTAAATGAGAATTGCTAGGTCATACTAATCAATTAATCAACCTCTCAATCTAGAATGTATTGAACAAATGAGCCTCAGCAATACTGCTTAATACTTATGGTCCATTAAGCAAGACCAGGTGAATGAGGCAATCAAAATATTTTAATAGTGTATCCGATCAGGAGATAGTAGAATACTAAATGATCTGGTGGTTATTTTTAACAATATGTTGTGCTCTTGAGAAGTAAATGAATCTTGGAGGATTGTCAGCTGGAATCCAAACTCAATGTATCATTTTAAACAGTCACTTAATTTCTTGATTGTTTTAACCTGAATAAATTTAAGACTGTAGCAATTTTAGACAATTATCCAAATCTAATGTCTATGGTCATTTCATTCCATGAAGATGAAGTATTATGTATAGCAATGCTTTTTTCAAAGAAAAATGAATTATACATTAGAAATTATATGATCACTTATAATAAGGTATTAAACAATGAGAAATTTACTGTAAAGATGGCCTAGCATTCTAAAAAATGCCAATAAATATTTGTCAAACACTCTTCTAGTTGCTCATTTTTAGGGATGATCAAAACAGACCTGAAACCAGATGATGAGACGGGCTGGAGCAAAGGAAGGGAGCTCCTTTAATTAGGGTAATCACAGAAGGCATTTTTGAGGAAGTAATAGTTCTGTTGACATATAGGAAATAAGCAGGAATGCAATGAAAAGAGCCATATGAAAAGCCTTTTAGTCTGAAAGAATAAGAAATGCAAACGATCTTTATGAGCATGGAGCTAGGGATGTCAAAGTGTAAAAATAAACCAGAAGCTGGAAAGATAGGCCAAATACAGAAAATATAGAGTTTTCTGGGATGTGGTCAGAAGTTTAGATGTCATGCTAAGGACACTGACATGCCAGTAGGTTAAAAATATTATCTGATTTAAATATACACTAAAAATATTCTGACTTGCTGTGTGGAGATTGAAGAGTAGAAGCAAGAGTAGAAGCACTGAGACCAACTATGAAAGGTTTTACATTGTCTCCATTGAGAGATCTTGGTAACCTTTACTGAGGATGTCACAGCTGAATTAGATAATAGTGGATAAGTTCAGTTTATATTTTTAAATAGAATAAACTAGATCTGGGGGCTATGTGTGTGGTAGTTGAGTAAGAGAAAGGAATTAAACAAGTATCTTAATATTTTCCTTTAGTAATTAGGTAAATTGAAAATACTAAGAGAAGATAAATGAACATTAGATAGTATGGGGGATAGTTATAAAGCAGAAAGTGTTTTATTTCTGACTTTTGTATTTAATTCATCTCTTAAACATACCCTGATAGGGATACATAAGACCAACTTCTAAATAAGTCAATTACAGGAAAAAAAATTTAGTTATTGGCATGCAGATGGTATGAAGCATATTTGATGCTAACATTTTTTCTTTACCTCCCTGGTTTTGTGATACCTCACTGAGGTAAGAATGTGTTTTTTGAATGTATGATTTTGGTTTTGGATATGTGAGTTTCTTCAGCAAAACAAAAACAAAACATGAGTAGAGATGACAATGTACCAGTTGTAAGCTGAGGCTTTATTAGACATCAAATATTTTCACTCATTGGGATTTTGCCATTTGTCATGAGAAGAGCATACTCTGGGTACCTGTTGATCCTGAAATGAAAAACACATGAATCAGACTTCAACCTAGTCCCAGGCCTAAGTCTTTACTCTAGCCACTCAAGATTTGTGAGAAAGACAAATCGTTACAGTTCTAAATCACCAAACTTCAGATGTCTCACCAGAAATACTGTTAAATATGTGTCATATAAACAATGAATTCTAAATAAAATCATCTAGCCTAGAATGGAGAAAAAAATTAAAGAGGAATAAGGAGTAGGGCAATCTATCTTTTGTGGTCGGGTAGAGAAGAGAAAAGGGTAGAAAAATCTTGCAAAATACCAAGGATCCAAAATGAAAACAAAGCAAGTGAACAGTGATAGAAATCAAGATAACTTTTTTTTCCAAAAAGTAAAATAAGACAACTTCAGAATGCTAATGAGAGGTGGAGAAAAATGAAGACAGAGAAGTTATTTCTTTATTATGATCTCAGCAAGCCTTAATTTACATAGAAGATATATCTTCCAAATTTTGCATGATTTGAAGCACATAAAATATTTTAGGGGGCTCATAATCTTCAAGTAGGTTTATATGGCATTTAAATCAAGAAACAGTAAAGCTGTAATCATTTCTGGAGATGTTTAGACATATAAGCACACATACATATATTTGGATGGTAGGCATTTGCCAATACAGGAAACATGGTTCATGCTGCCAGATTTGACAAAGATTAAAACAATGGTTCCAAATAAACCGGAATGTTGATTTTCAGTAGAGGAAAAATAGAGAAAATTGGTGATTGGTAAAACCATACAGAATAGTTCACAACCTAAATTATCTTGGTGATTAAAATATAGTAGAGTGTTTGCCAAGTCTGCTTGTAAAGATGCTGGAGTATTAGCAGCTGAAAAGAAAAGATAACATTTTCTTCTACTGAGTTTAGAGAAACTTTTTTTCAGACTAAGAAATGTAGCTTTCAAGTATTAAGAAATATACCATGAGATTTACAATATTTTTTTCCTTCATTTGTGAAGCACTAGACAAATCTTTGTTTACATCTGTTTCTGAATTCCAGTGAAATGAAATAGCACAGAAGTCAAAAACAATAATTGTATTAGTCTGCTCTCATGCTGCTGATAAAGACATGCAAGACTGGGTAATTTATAAAGAAAAATAGGTTTAATGGACTCACAGTTCCATATGGTTGGGGAATTCTCACAATCATGGTGGGAGGCAAAAGGTACATCTTACATGGCGGCAGGCAAGAGAGAATGAGAACCAAGAGAAAGAGGAAATCCCTTAAAAAACCATCAGATCTCATGAGGCTTATTCACTACCATGAGAACAGTATGGGGAAAACTGCCCCCATGATTCAATTATCTTGCACTGGGTCCCTCCCACAACACATGGGAATTATGGGAGCTACAATTCAAGATGAGATTTGAGGGGGAGGCATAAAGGCAAACCATATCAATAATTGTATCTTTCTTCCTCTCATCTATAAGCCTCCATATTGATGTGATATAATCCTATAGCCTTGGGAAAACCTCTCTGCAAAACTATTTTTTTAAACTTTTTATAGGCTCAGATTTTTGCATTTTTATCCTTATTGTTTACATCAAAAAGACTACTTGCGATTTTTAATGACTGTGATTTTATTTTTAAAAGTATCACCAAATCCAGAAAAAGAAATATTGGAAAAAAAAATTCACTCTTCATTAGGTACATTTTTACCATGTACCTACCATGCACTAGACACTCTGCTAGGTAGTGAGGGTAACACTGTGATGATAAATGATAATATGGCTTGAACCCAGTGGGTGGTAATTGAAACATGAGGGCATGTTTTTCTCATGATAGTGAATAAGCCTCATGAGATTTGATAGTTTATAAAGAAAAATTCCTTGCACATGCTCTCCTGCCTGTCACCATGTAAGATGTCCCTTTGCTCTTCCTTCGTCTTCCACCATGATTGTGAGGTCTCCCCAGCATGCGGAACTGTGAGTCCATTAAGCCTCTTTTCTTTATAAATTACTCAGTCTTGAGTATGTCTTTATTAGCAGGATGAGAATGAACTAATATAGTAAATTGGCACCAGTAGAGTGGGGTGCTGCTGTAAAGATACCCAAAAATATGGAAGTGACTTTGGAACTGGGTAACATGCAGAGGTTGGAACAGTTTGGAGGGTTCAGAGGAAGACAGAAAGATGTGGGAAGAGTTGGAACTTCTCAGAGACTTGTGGAATGGTTTTGACCAAAATGCTGACAGTGATATGGACAATAAAGTACAGGTTGAGGTGCTTTGAGATGGAGATGAGGAACCTGTTGGAAACTGGAATAAAGGTGACTCTTGCTATATTTTAGCAAAGACACTGGTGACGTTTTAACCCTACCCTAGAGATTTGTAGAACTTTGAACTTGAGAGAGATGATTTAGGGTATCTGGCAGAAGAAACTTCTAAGCAGCAAAGTGTTCAAGAAGTGACTTGGGTACTGTAAAATCATTCAATTTTATGTATTCACAAAGATATGGTTTGGAATTGGAACTTATATTTAAAAGGCAAGTAGAGCATAAAAGTTCATAAACTTTGCAGCCCAATGATGCAATGGAAAAGAATAACCCATTTTCTGAGGAGAAACTCAAGTTGGTTGCAGAAATTTGCCTAAGTAATGAGGAGCCAAATGTTAATCACCAAGACAATGGGGAAAATGCCTTCAGGGCATGTCAGAGGTCTTCATAGCAGCCCCTCCCATCACATGCCCAGAGGCCTAGGAGGAAAAAATGGTTTTGTGTTCCAGGCCTAGGGCCATGCTGCTTTGCGCAGTCTTGGGACTTGATGCCCTATGTCCCAGGTGTGGCTAAAAGGGGGCAACATAGAGCTCAGGCCATTGCTTCAGAGGGTGCAAGCTGCAAGCCTTAGAGGCTTACACATGGTTTTGGGCCTGCAGGTGCATAAAAGTCAAGAATTGAGATTTGCATAGATTTCAAAGGATGTATGGAAACACCTGGATATCTGGGCAGAAGTTTGCTGCAGGGGCAGGGCCCTCATGGAGAACCTCTGCTAGGTCAGTGTGGAAGGGAAATGTGGAGTTGGAGCCCCCACACAGAGTGCCCACTGGGGCACTGCCTAGTGGAGATGTGAGAAAAGGGCCACTGTCCTCTAGACCCAAGAATGGTAGATCCACTGACAGCTTGCACCATGCACCTAGAAAAGACAAGACACAAAATGCCAGCCCATGAAAGCAGCTTGGAGGGGGGCTGTACCCTGCAAAGCCACAGAGGCAGAGCTGCCTGAGGCCATCGGAACCCACCTCTTGCATCAGGGTGACCTAGATGGAAGAAATGGAGTCAAAGGAGATCATTACGAAGCTTTAAGTTTTGGCTGCCCTGCTGGATTTCAGACTTGCATGAGACCTGTAGCCCTTCCTTTTGGCCAATTTCTCCCATTTGAAATGGGTATATTTACCTAATGCCTGTACCCCCATTATACCTAGGAAGTAACTAACTTGCTTTTGATTTTTCAGCATTATAGGTGGAAGGGACTTGCCTTGTCTCAGATGAGACTTTGGACTTGGACTTTTGGGTTAAGGCTAAAATGAATTAAGACTTTGGGGAACTGTTAGAAGACATGATTGATTTTGAAACTTGAGTGCATGAGATTTTGCAGGGGCCAGAGGCAGACTGATATGGTTTGGCTATGTCCTGACCCAAATCTCACCTTGAAATGTAATAATCCCCATGTGTCTTGGGAGGTACAGAGTGGGAGGCAATTGAATCATGGGGGTGGGATTTTCCGCTGTCCTTGTGATAGTGAATAAGTCTCATGAGAACTGATGGTTTTATAAAGGGGAGTCCCCTGCACATGCTCTCTTGCCTGCCATCATGTAAGACATCCCTTCGCTTTTCCTTCATCTTCTGCCATGATTGTGAGGCCTCCCAGCATGTGGAACTGTGAGTCCATTAAACCTCTTTCCTTTATAAATTACTCAGTCTCAGTATGTCTTTATTAGTAGCATGAGACCAGATTAATACAAAAGAACACAGAATTTGGCCTCATTTAACCAAAGTAAAACAGAATCAAACGGAAATATAACCATGAAAGTTTTACAAGGATGCATATATAGTGCTAAGGAATATGATATGCATAATTGGCCTACTTTGTGAAGTCACAGGATCTTTGCTCAGGAATCAACAATGATTGAGTTACAGAGAAAAATCTGAATTAGATACATGGGATAGCAGAGAAAAGTGGATTTGTCAGGAACGAGAAGATATCACAGTAAGAAGAAACATGGTGGCACCAGCTTAAAGAACTAAAAACGGTCAGTTTGTCTGGATAACAAAACATAACAGAAAACACGTGAAATAAGGATGAAGAAGAAGTAAGAGTCAGGGTACACAGCAACTCACAACAGAACAGCTAAACGGAAGTGATTAAGAGTACAGACCTAAGGACGACATCAACAATGATGGTAAGAATTCCAAAATTCAGTCCCTCTACAAAAGCAATGATAAATTTAACAAAACCTGTCAGAATCAACTGTTTTAAAGCTCTGGACCTCTAATCAAAACCTCACAATAAATAGGGGAATGTATGATGATGAAAGAAACTGCCGACCAGCCTGACCAACATGGCAAAATCCCATCTCTACTAAACACAAAAAATTAGCTGGGCGTGGTGGTAGGCGTCTGTAATCCCAACTACTCAGGAGGCTTAAGCAGGAGAATCACTTGAACCCAGGTGGCGGAGTTTGCAGTGAGCCGAGATCATGCCATTGCACTCCAGCCTGGGCAACAGAATGAGACTCCATCTCCAATAACAACAACAAGAACAAGAACAACAACAACAGAAACTGCCAAATATTAACAAGAGAACATATGACATTTTAACTTACCTTCTATCATCTTCCAGTCTCTAACTTAGTGCTATTTGTGGAGATAAGTGGTCTATATTCCTAGTGTGTCTAGCTTGTGCCAGAGGAGGCAAAAATGACTGTTTTCAAAGACATATGATGTGTGTTGATATGTTTGGTGGGTTGCTGAGGGATTGGATCTGAAGTTTGCCTTTATTGAGAATATTGCCTAGAAGTATTCTCAGTCTAAGAACAGCACCTTATATCACATTTGGCAAAAGCATTTATAGCAAAGTACACTACCACAGTAGTCTAGGACAATGGATACCATCCAGGTCAAGTAGCAGACAGATGAAAAAGCCTCGGAAAGAAGAGACTGGGGAAGGAAATTGGCAGGCTGCTTTTCAGGGTCCCTCCACTGTGGTACCAGTTGGTCCACCACATATAAGACTGTACTCAACCTGGGCAGCTTTCCTGTCTTGGAGTACCAGCTCACAATGGATACTAGGCTCTGATCTCCCTTGCTGCATATCTGTAAGTAATACATTCACTTAAGGTAACTTGTACACGAGTGTCCTGTCTCACTAGACTCAGACAAGTTGGTAACCAGTGCACAATGAAGTTGCTTGACAAGATGACTTGAGTAACACTACAAACCAGACCTAACAGACATGCACAGGATAGTCCATCCAACAACAGCAAAATACCAACAACAAAATACAAATTCTTATTAAGTTCACATGGAACATCCTCTATGTATTAGGCCACAGCAGTCTCAAAATATTAAAAAAATTGAAGTCATACAAACTATCTTTAGGGATCACAATGAAATAAGTATAGATAAAAGGAACAAAAAAGTAGAGTTCATAAATATGTGAAAATTAAATGACACACTCTTAACCAATCAGTCAAAGCAGCAATCACAAAGTAAATTCTAAATAAAAAAATATGTTGAGACAAATGAAAAAGATATACAGTATGCCAAAACTTACAGACTGCGGTAAAGGAGTACTTGGAAGAAATTTCTATCAATAAGTACCTACATTATAAAAGAAGAAATATCTCAAATCAACAACCTAATGTTACACCTTAAGGAATCAGAAAAATAGCAAACTAAACATGAAACTGAAAGGAAGAAAATAATAAAGATTAGAGTGGAGATAAATGAAATCAAGAAATGAAATACGATAGAGAGAATCAACAAAACTAAAAGTTGGTTCTTTGAATTGACAAACCTTTAGCTAGATTGACTAAAAAAAACAGCAGGAGAGAATACTCAAATCACTAAAATTAGAAATGAAATTGCAGATGGGGACATTACTGCTATTTTAACAGAAATAAAAGGATAAAAGGATTTATAAGAATACTAAGGAATACTTAGTTCTATGCCAATAATTTATATAACCAAAACAAACTGGACAAATTCTTGAAAAAATACAAACTACCAAAAATGAGTCAGGAAGAAATGCAAAATCTGTCCGGACTTACCATAGGTAAAGTGATTGAATTCGTAGTCAAAACCTCCCCAAAAAGAAAACACAAGACGAGATGGCCACACTGACAAATTCTATGAACATTTAAAGAAAGTTTTTCAGATAATATCAGAAATTTTCAGATAATATCAATTTTTCTCAAATAGAAGATGAAAGAATACTTTCTAGCTCATTCTGTGAGGAAAGTGTTACCCTTAATACCAAAGTCAAACAAAAGGAACAAAAATTATACACCAATATATCTTATGGATATAGTTAGAAAACTTTTCAATATATGTATAATATATAGAAAAATACAGAGAATTGAAATATAATAATCAACAAAACTAAGTCTAAAAACTTTTACAAGAAAACTAAAAACTAATTATAATGTATTGAAAATATTTGAATCTATAATATAATATATAATTATAATTATATAGTATAGCAAATATAAAGCAGCATATTAAAAATGGTAAAAACATTGTATACCCTCACCAAGGGGGATGTATCCCAGAAATGCAAGGAGTTTCAACATAGAAAACCAATCCACATAGGCTGGGCACGGTGGCTCACGCCTGTAATCCCAGCACTTTGGGAGGTCGAGGCGGGCAGATCATGAGGTCAGAAGTTAGAGACCAGCCTGGCCAACATGGTGAAACCCCATCTCTGCTAAAAATTCAAAAATTGGCCAGGCATGGTGGTGGGCATCTGTAATCCCAGCTACTCGGGAGGCTGAGGCAGGAGAATTGCTTGAACCTGGGAGGTGGAGGTTGCAGTGAGCCAAGATTGTGCCATTGCACTCCAGCCTGGGTAACTAGAGCAAAAAACTCCATCAAAAAAGAAAAAAAAAAAAAAGGAAAAGAAAACCAATCCACGTAACTTTAATTGAAAGAGACCAAAAAACTACATGATCAACTCAATTGATGAAGAAAAAAATAAGATTTGCAAAAATCCAATGCACTTTTGTAATAAAAACACTCAAGAAACTACGAATACAAGGGAACTTCTTTAACATGATAAAGAGCATTTGTGAAAACCCACAAATATATTATATTCAATAACAAAAGATGGAAAGTTTTACCTTTAATATCAGGAACTAGACAGAGAAATCTGTTTTTACCACTACACTGGAAGTTTAAGACAGAAAACTATGCAAGAAAAACAAAGATATCTCTATTAGAAATAAAAATTAAATCTATTTATATTTAAAGACTTCATGATGTTATATATAGGAAATTCTTAAGAATAGTAAAAAAATCTATTAGCATTAATATGCAAATTCAACATGGTTGTAGAATACATATCAACACACTAAAATCAATTGTGTACGTATATACCAGCCATAAACAAATTTTTAAAAATTAAAATCTCAATTCCATTGCAAGAACATATAAAACATTTAAATATTTAGAAATAAACTTAATCAATGAATAAACTAACCAAGAAGGTGTAAGGCTCTTACACTCTAAACTGCAGAATATTACTGAAAAAAAATTAAAAAACTAAATAAATGAAAATACATCCTGTGCTCATAATGGACTCATTAACTCAACAAAAAGACAAGCAACCAATTTAAAAATGGACAAGGGACTTGAACGGACATTTCTCTAAAGAAAATAGTAAACAAATACATAAAAATATACCCAATATCAATTGTCAATACGGAAATCCAAATCAAAGCCACAGTGAGATCCACTTCATCCTGAGTAGAACAACAACAACCATAAAAACCTGAGAAAAAACAAGTATCATTGAGGCTGTGGAAACATTATGACCTTCATATATTGTTTATAGAAGTATGAAATAGCGAGACCGCTGTGGAAAAGAATGTTAGTTCCTAAATAAGTTAAAAATAGAATTACTGTATGACCCAAGAATTTTATTCCTTGGTATAAACTCAAAAGAGTTAATAGTAGTTGTTCAAATCAATACTTTTATACAAATTTAGTAGTGCTCTTCACAGTAGTCAAAAGGTAGAAACGCAGTCATCCAAATATCCATCGGATGATAAATAGACAAAATGTGGCATAACAAACAATGGAATATTATTCAGTTATAAAAGCAAAATAAGTGGCCTAGTGCAGTGGCTCACGCCTGTAATCCCAGCACTTTGGGAGGCCGAGGCCTGTGGATCACCTGAGATCGGGAGTGAGAGACCAGCCTGATCAAAATAGAGAATCCCATCTCTACTAAATATACAAAATTAGCTGGGTGTGGTGGTGCATGTCTGTAATCCCAGCTACTCGGGAGGCTGAGGGGAAAAACAACAACAACAACCAAAAAAAAAAAAAAACAAGAAGTACTGATACATGTTGCAACATGAAAGAATTTCGAATGTGAATATGACATATTTTCTGAATTATTCCACAATATATGACATGTCCAGAGTATGCAAATTCAGAGATGGAAAGAAGTTTAATGATTACAAGGGGCTGAGAAGTAACAGTTAATTGGGTATGAGTTTTCTTTGTGAGGTGATAAAACAGAAGACACCAGTTTATGTCTATTAGGAGGGCTATTATTTAAAAATACACATATAAGAACATGAAATAATTAGAATTATCTGCACTGCTTGTGGAAGTATAAAACGATAAAGCCACTGTAGAAAATGATATGGCAGTTCCTCAGAATATTAAGACATAAAATTGATGTATGATCATATTGATATATGATCAAGCAATTCTACTTCTAGGTATAAATAAACGAATTGAAAGCAGGAACTCAAACAGGTATCTTAACACTAATGTTTATAGGAGCATTATTAATAATAGACAAAAGCTTAAATATCTGAAATATCCATACATTGATGAATGAATAAACAAAATGTGGTATAGCCATAAAATGGAATATTATTCAATCTTAAAAAATGAAATTATGATACATGATACAGCATAAATGAACTTAGACAACATTATGCTAATTGAAATAAGCCAGACAAAAAAAGGACAGATATTGTTTGATTCTACTTATATAATGTATAAATTGAAATTCATAGAGACAGAAAATAGAAGAGTGGTTACCAGAGGCTGTGGGAAGGGGGAAATAGGCGACTATTGTTTAGTGGGTAGGGAGTTTCAGTTTGGGATGATTAAAAAGTTCTAGTAAGGAATAAGGATGATGGTCACATAACAACGTGAATATATTTAATACTACTGAATTATATGTTTTAAAATGGGTTAAAATGTTAAGTTTGATGTTACATATATTTTAACACAATTTTCAAAAATAGATGCATCCATAAAAAGTCTATAGCTAGCGCAGTCTATGTGGAAACAAGGATATCCACTTTCTCCATTTCCATGCAACATCGTACTGGAGGTTTTTAAATGGTGAAATAAGACAAGGAAAATACAGAAAAAGCACTCAGATTGAAAAGGAAAAAATAAAAGTATTGACTAATGACATAATTGTCTATGTGGAATATCCTACTAAATCTATTAAAAATACTGAAACTATTACATGTGTTCCACATGGTTATAATATTTCAGTAACATTAAATATATAGTAAATCTGACAAAAATATGCAAGACCTACACATTTAAAACTTCAAAAGACTGTTGACAGAAATTAAAGAATATCTAAATAAATAGATATATTGTGGTCATGGATCATTAATAATACTTTTCCTCTTTTACACTATTGGCTTTTCTCTAACAATTTGATCCTAACAGCTTTTAATCATGGTGAAAACCCTACCATTTGAATCAATACTTTCAGATATTAATTCTCCACAAATTGATCTACAGATTAAGTATAGTCCCAGTGAAAATCCTAGCAGGTATTTTATAGAAATAGGCAAGATGGTTTTATAAATCATGTGAAAATGCTACGAAAAAAATAGTAATACAATTGGAGTTCTAACACTCTCTGACTTCGAGACTTGTTATAATGCTGTAGTAATCACAAGAGTGGTGGTATTGGTAAGAGAGAAAGACACACTTGTTAATGACACAGAATACAGAATCTACAAATAATCTAGTTACATGGTCAATTAATTTTGACAACAGTGTAAAGGCGATTCAGTGGGAAAGAGCATTTTATCAAATGATGCTGGGAGAATCAGATTGTTGTTTCAAAAAAAGAAAGAGCCAGTCTTAATCCATACCTTGCAAGATATACAAAAATTAAGACAAAATGGATTATAGACCTAAAAGTAACCATAAGGAAAGAAGATTCTTGAGAGTAGACAAAATTGAGCAAAGAAACTGGTAGAAGAAAAACCAAGACAACACAATTTCACTGAAGCCAAATAAACAGAATTGACTTTTAAAAAGAAAAGAATGCTTCATTGGATAATGCTGAAATGTTTTAAAAGATTAAGATTAGAAAGTGTCCAGTGTATTTAGCAAGATATGGACCATTTGAACAACTAGTGTTGCGGCTAGATAAACAAAAAAGAAAAAGAAAAAAAGGAAGCAGGTTTTAGACAGTAATTTTTAGAAAACAACTTTTTCGTTGAGCAAGAGATTTATAGGGAGACAGCATAGCAAGGATGTTGTTTTTGTTTGTGTTATATAACAGTAGAGAACTGAGCATGGAACAAAAAAGAGCTTTTGGTCCTAAAGCTCTTAGGACCAAATTGGTGGAGAAAAGTCAATTGTATAGAAAATAACATGTACTATTAATAAACGAAGTTACAGAAAAAAAAAAGTGGCAGAATCCGGAGCCCTTTCGGGAAATTAGACAGAAAGAAGGTTCTCTAATGTAAGAGAAGACAAGAGTGCAGATGGGTGTGGTTTTAGATTGAAAGAAGAGAGAGAAGTTCATGGATAGTGAGTTTATACTCTTTCTAAGACTGGAGCTGGGTGGCAAGTTGCAGAAATCAGAGGAGGGTGAAGAAAAGTGAAAAAACATAATGTTGAAGAAAGTGACAATGAGTGAAACTGAGAAGTCTCAAGTGTGATATCTGGACAGTTTGCTGTGTCCATTTTAGATATGAGATGTTGCATTTACTGCAAGACAATTCTCCTTTATTGTGAGGTAATACAGTTTTGTGTAATTGCCCAGTTGAAGAAGCAGAATAAAGTGCACATGGGTCTTGCCAGAGATCTATGACACATACATAAATAATCCACGGGTCTTAGGGGAATGTTTCTAAAATAATCAACCATTTAAGTAATAAGGGGAAATGAAAAGAAAACAATGGCTGACAGACTGTTAGAAAGTATAGGGGTCAATGAACTATGAAAAGTGAATATTTATACAATAACCACTTGAGTAATAAAGGGTAGAATCCATCACAGACAGCTTGCAGTTTAAACAACTGTTCTTCTAATAACACAATAGAAGTAATCTAAAGATAAATTAAGTGATCAAATCCTTAACAGAAGGAGTCACATTTCTTGCCATTTTTTACTTTCATGTGATTTTCTCCTAGATTACACTGTGTTTTGTTCCATAACTGGACAGATTTTAAAATCCAATAAAGAAAAAAATAAAAATAATTGGCGAATAGCAGAGCATCCAGAATGATTGGTCCAGGTTTAGCAACCATCTATGAGGTCAATGTGTTAATACAATTACCCATGTATAATACAATTATTCATGCATACAATTAGTTTTCCCCCCAGAAGATTATTTTTATACAATGCCATACATTTTAATACCTCTTTTTAACTTTAATATGAGTTGCTAATCCTCGTCCCTTAAAAATGTTTTCAGAGAGAAAAATTTACTGTCTTGGTTAAATGCAATTATCAACAATGCAAAATTTATTTTCATGTCTTTTTTTTCCTAGAGAGTCTGTATTTGAACAATGGGCCTATCTCACATGTGGAGGGCCTCCCCTCATTTTTCACATACTCCTGAGTTACAACGTTGACAATTATTTTTCTTTGAGTCATATCTTTTTTCAGAGAGTAAGGCCTGAAATTTGTCTGGAATATCCCTCTTTTATATGAGTAGAAATTTTAAAATTTGCAGTAGTAATATGCATGTCAAAGCTATCATTGTTTTGGGAAAAAAATATTTCATTGTGTTACATGGCATGCTCTTAATTGTACAGGTGAAGTGATGTTTTACTTTTACTGGCAGTATTTAAGAAAAACAAAAAGTGAATATATATTTCATACTAGGCTTAATAACTGGGTGATACAATAATCTGTACAACAAACCTCCATGATACTAGTTTACCTATGTAACAAACCTGCACTTGTACCCCAAAATTAAAAGTATATATATATGTACTTTTATATATATATATGTGTATATATATATACTTTTATATATATGTATTTATATATATATACTTTTATATATATACTTTTATATATATACTTTTATATATATATTTTATATATATATAAAGAAAATATATATATATTTTCTTTTCAGACATATATATCTGAATTTCTGTTGCTTTTTAAGCAATAATATCCTGCATATGATTATTTTTGGCTTATTTCTCTGTGTATTAGATCAGAAAAAATAAAATATATAAAAATCACACAATTGTGTATGAATATATGCATGTATTTATTTGAATGAAATCCATTCATTAAAACAGTTAAATTCTAAAATTGTTCTATGTCGCTCAAATTCCCTCTCTGTGGTGTTTTATTAAAAGAGAGGATTGGGGAGAGACTCTTTACCTAATTATGAAATAATACATTGTGTTGGCAGAGAAAATCATCATGATGGCTCAAAGCCAATAAAGTCTGTATCACAGATTTCAGTTTTTTTCACCTTGACCATAAATACACAAATGGATGAACAGCAAAGGATAAATGTGCTATCAAGGTTTGAGAAAGTTATAGGTACAGGCAAGTTTTTCTTCTGGAGTGTTGCTTAATAATTAAATTTAATAATGAAACATTGATAGATATCCTCTTAGTGAAAATACATCATCTCCTTTGAAAGACTCCAGTCATGGGATATATTTATAATTCCTTAAATCCTTAGTTACCGAGAAATATGCAACTATGCAGTCATATGATTTAAAAACAAAAGGCACTCTAAATCAGGAGAAAGCAAGTAGTGGTATGAATAGTTCCCAAGTCTTGTGGTTGAAAAAGATATAAAGGCTTCTCCTGAGATTAAGCTGGAAAACTCACATAGCAATTAGTGAATCCAATCTATATGCCAGTGTAGGCAATGCCACTATTGTGTGCAAGACCATATCTAAGTGTTTATATTTCTTTTTAAAATGTTCTATATTTATCTATAAAATACACTATGTAAGTAAAAAAGCAGGTCTGTAGAAGATATGATACATTATATTATATACAGTTTCTTCAGCCTTCTCTTTTCTGAAGTTCCAAGAGACATATTCCTAATCAGTCCAAGTTGCATATGTCTATGTTTATGTCTCTGTATTTGTGCACCATTGCATGGTGGAGCTACCAGAACTGTGGGTGCAGATATAATGTCCAAAATTAAAATATAAATCCTTACTACATGACTACAGAGAAGAAAAAAGTAATATTTGATTTCCCATCAAATCACGCATGTGGTACTTTCGGAGAACAAATATTGCCTAAAACCACTGTGATCTACTGTATTAATGGACTCCTCAAAAGTGACTACTTTCTTATAATTAATCTTTCAATTATTTTCCAAAATTCTTAAAGTCCAAATTTCTTAACATGCTCTATAATAATAAGGATAAAATCTTTTTTTATGCCTCAGTCTCATGCTTAAACGTTTGAGTAGTTTTAGATTTGCTGAAAAGTTACAAAGATTGCACCGAGTTCCCATATACCCCTCACCCAGTTTCTCCTCTTATTAACAGCTTAAGATCTGGCATTTGTCACAATTAATGAAAATAGTGATTTATTAACTGAAGTCCATACTTGATTTAGCTTCTGTTTTTACCTAATGCCTGTTTTCATTCCCATATAGAATACATTATACTATTTCCAAATTAGGTCATATTCTAAGGTACTGGAAGTTAGAACTTCAACATATGAATTTGGGTGGGGAGTGATAATTTGACCCATAATAACCCTCAAGGTTCTAGGCAATCACTAATCAACTTATAAACTGCCTATTCTAGACTTTTCATATAAATGGAATATTATAGATACTGTGACTTTTTCACTTAGCATGTTTTCAAGATCCATCAATATTGTCACATGTGTCAGTACTATTAGTCTGCTCCTGTGAATTTTTCATTTCAGTTCATTAAAGAATTTCCTTTGTATTTCTTATATCTGTATCTTATTGATATTCTCCATTTGATATGAAATTGTCATCATGCCATCCTTTATTTAATCTTAGTGTCCTTTAATTCTTTGAGCATGTTTTTAAGAGCTGCTTTGAAGTCTTTTTTGGCTAAATTTACCATGTAGGCCCCATCAAAGACAGTTTTTCTTGTTTGCTTTTTCACTGTGTATGGGTCATATTTTCTTGTTTCTTTGCATGTGTCATATATTTCTGTTGCAAGTGGGATATTTTCGGTAATATGTTGTAGCACCTATGAATACATTACCCACCCCTCCATCTGGCAGTGGTTATTATTGCTGCCGTTTGCTTGGTCATTTGTTTGCATAGTGATTTGACTGAATTAACTCTGTGAGGGATATTTTCCTTGCAGTGTTTTCCCTGATCATATTTTCCCCTTATTTTTAATCTTTGAGTCTAATATCTAGAGGTTGTCCCAGGAAGAATATAGCTATTTATTGTTGAAACATTTTGCATAAGCTCTCCTTAGCCAGTTGGAGTTTTACCCTTTTACTGTTGGATATGTGTGTGTGGCTTGGAGGCTGCAATCATTATTTAGGGAGTTTATGTCAGTCTCACATTCAACAGACTGCCAGCTTGGAGGTTCCTTCTCTTATTGTACTTTAAAGGGTGCAGCCTTGTTGGGCATGTACAGTCTTCCAGAAAGCTGAGGATAAGTGTTATTTTATCTTTACGTTTAGCTTCTCTAGTAGCTACCTCCATGTCAGAATAATTAACTGTTCAGTCACTGTTTTGCTAGAAGTTGTGTTTAAGCTCCTTGTGTCTATGAGGTTTCTACCCTGTGTTGATGGGTCTGCATGTAGCTTGGAGAATGTTTTCATTTTCATGCCTTGACCTGCTCAGATTGCTCCTGAGTGAGGGCAACCCAGCACATGCACACAGCCTTCCAGAAGCCCTGAGTTGACTGTGATCTCCAAAGGGACATCCTGGGCTGTCTCTCTTCCTGATTCTATCACATTTCCGGCTGCTCTGTTGTTCTGTGTATATTATGGGTCTACTAGCCTCTTCTTAGTCACTGCCCACCAAGATCTTCATTATTTATTAATAGTGTCCTTAGGCATGGAATTCTATGCTTTTTGTACCAAGTAAACCCAGTCATCTCAGACAAATCTGCAGAGCTCTTTGTCATACGGCCAGCCTCTCCTGTGGGCAGAACCTCCTGCCACAGCATCAGAGCTGGGTGGAGGGAACCATTTTTTCTCAAAGTGGTACTCCGGCTCTAAGAGTAAGCAGTGGATGGAAGTGGTGTTATTATTTCCTGGTCTTTCTGGTTTGTTCTTTCTATCAAGGAACTCCTACATTACCAGGGACCTGGGCCACAGGCAATCAAAGTCTCAGATTTCTTTGCTTGCTATCCCTGAGGAGGAACTTCTTCTCTACCAGTGAGGGCTATGTAGATATCATTAGTTTCTATATATTGTGAAGTGATGTAGCCTTTGGAGCTCTAATTGAAGATCACCATCATTTCTACAGCATTAAAACACATTTCCAATTTGAATCAGATTAATTGATTTGTGATTTTATTTAACATCTCCTTTCTTACCAATCACTACAGTTGATACTGGAAATGCCAAGATGAATAAGACACACAGAATGCAAAGTATTTATAATCCAATGTAACAGATAGATATTAAAAAGAAACACAAACTATACTATTTATATTGTCAGTTAGCAGGCATAAATATGTACAAAGTGTTTGTATAATATGGAGATGCCTCTGTGAGATATGTTGATGCCAAAGAGAAACAATCTCATTAATTGAATTTCCAGGATTTAAAGATACTACATAGCTAGTGACGTTTGATCTTTTAAAATTTCTGCAGGAATTTACTAATAAATTGGGAGTAGATTGGGTAAAAATGCCTGCAAGTAAGAATATAGAATAAAGTCACAGAGGAATTTGGAGCATGATGTGTTAAAATAACTAAAGGAGTTCAGTATGGCTAAAGCCATATTAGGGGTGGGTGAAGAATATTTTAAGGTTCATTAAAGTTTTATCTTTGCAGCATTAAATTGTCACAGAAACCAAGATGCATTGGCTAGCATTGCAAGAAAATATTCAGTATATGAGCCTAAGCTAGATGTTCTGCCTTAAAATATTGGTGGAGAATTTTGTAGTTGTGCTATTACAGAGGATGTCAAGATTTCATTCTTCAACATGGAAAATAGTATAACTGATTTACTTTGTTCAAGTTTCTCTTAAATATGCAGAGAGGTTGTCATCCTTAATAGTACTGTGACTGAGCCACATTTAATCTACTGGAAGTAAATTGAAATAAATGGAATATGTATGACACTATGAAGAGTTGGATGTATACATGTGCAATGAAAATATGTGGATAAACTGCATAAGACACAATAAGGAAAAAAGCTATAACAAAAGTAGTTGGTATGAAGGTTTGGCAATTTTTATTCTATAGTTATTTCACATATCATATTTCTCCTTTATATAGTTCATAATGCCAAGAGGTACAAGCTGACAGCTACAGTAGGAAATTGAAGCATGAATTAGGTGATGTAGATTGTAATTCCAGCTCTTTATGACAATTTTTGCCACTCTGAACAAGTCGCTAATCTTCAGAGTTTGAGCTTCAATATTTTAAGATGGCAAAATTATGTGATTCTGGTAATTTACATTCTAGATTATTTAGCAAAATTTTCCTTGATTTTTGAATTATGTGTGCACCTCTTAAGTAACAAAGCAAAATATATACATTGTAGTACTTTGTAATAATCATTATTATGAGTAGCATTAATTTGTTAGTTTGGATTATATCAGCATTGCTTACATATGATTAATGACTCTTTAAAGGGAAAAAAAATCTTGAGGATCTTAATATTACCAGAATTTCTATTATGTTACTTAAAATGTACAAAAATTTTGGCATATATTTCTTAGGCTTACATATGTGATTCTGCTAATTTACATGTTAGATTATTTAGGAAAAATTTCCTTGATTTTTGAATTATGTGCACCTCTTATGTAATAAAGTAAAATATTTATAGTAATTTGTAATAAATATTATTAGTAGCATTAATTTGTTAGTTTGGATTATATCAGCATTTCTTACATATGATTAATTACTCTTTAAAGGGAAAAATATCTTGAGGATCCTAATATTACCGGAATTTCCATTATGTTACTTAAAATGTACAAAACTTCAGGCATTAGGTCATATTCTAAGGTACTGGAATACATTTCTTAGGCTTACATACTCAATTACACCATAACCTAAAATTACAAAGTAAATATAAAACCCGTAAAATGGGTCTGGCACGGTGGCTCATGCCTGTAATCCCAGAACTTCTGGAGGCCAAGGCAGGTGGATCACGAGGTCAGGAGTTCAAGACTAGCCTGCCCAATATGGTGAAACCCCGTCTCTAGTGAAAATACAAAAAATTAGCCGGGCATGGTGGTGCACGCTTGTTTTCCTAGCCACTAGGGAGGCCGAGGCAGAATCTCCTGAACCTGGGAGGTGGAGGTTGCAGTGAGCCGAGATTGCACCACTGTACTCCAGCTTGGGCAACAGAGTGAGACTCTGTCTCAAATAAAAAAAAAATAAATAACAGTATCATTTTGGCAGATGATGGTTTGTGGCTACCAAATATATGCTTATAACACCTTTATGGTACTGACTTCAGTGGTACAGTTTCTTTTACATTTAATAGGTAGAAACTTTCATGTACTATGACTATAAAGCAAAGATTTTACTGTTTTCCTCAAAGCTAATTACTGTGAAACTTTCGTCACAGCAACTTAGGACCACTTTTCATCTTTGCCTGATGCAAGCTAAGCATTTGTAGATTAAATCTCTCTTTATCTTTTCTTTGGCCAATACAATGAATGTGGTTTCTGCTTATGTGAGTGTTCAAAAACATAAATTAAAATGAATATACTGAAAATGATTAAGTTGGGTATAAGGTCGTAGATGTGCTGAAGACCAATTTTGTTTATGCTCTTTTTCTTTCACTTGAATATATTAACACGTTTTTACATTTATATTAAATACAAAATGAAAATCTAAAATATAAGCACATAATAGAGAACTGGGTAAACCTGGGTAATACATCTACATTTTCCAGGAGTAAGCATATGCCTTTACGCGAATAAACGAAAGCCAAATAAATTTGTATAAAAATTAGCTCTGCACTTTGCTCACTATAACTGTTTTTGCATATACCCAGATACTATTCAAACATATACAAGTCAGGGGCCTCTTATAAAGTCTATCATCATGAACACTTAGGACACTACTTGAACTACAAAGTATAAGGAATGTTTTAGAAATATCATTACATTTTAGAACATTCTCTAGAGACTTGAATAGTATAGGTTTGTATCATTATAACTGAATGCAGATTTCCAGTAGACCTTCCACACTGATCTCAGATATCTAAAAGGAGAGGGATTTGTGCCATTTAGGCAAAAGGGGATTAAAGAAGTGACAGTAGGAAAAACTGAAAATAAAGAAATACTCCAGCCTGGGTGACAGAGTAAGACCCTGTCTCAATCAATCAATCAATCAAGGATTGTGGTAGTGCTATAAACCACATTTGTATAATTGCATGGGCAAACAGTTATGCTTTTGGTGTCTGTTCCTCATTTACGATTCTGATAAATAATGGTATGTCCATCTAAGGTTATTATGAGATTTAAATGAGTTCATAAGCAGGATCTGCTGTTTAGGACCCATTGCTAACATTGAAATACTGTTATACAAATTCTTCATTTTTTGAACTAGTAATTATAGATGGAATGATGTATGGGTATGCAAGAAATTGATATCATACAGTGTATTTGGTAAAAGAATGAACATTTAACTGATTACAGTGAATCATGGCCCATTTTGGCAAAAGAAAAATGGTAAAAATTAAGACAGTAAAAATTACTGATTTGTGTTTCAAATGATCACAAAATGGTCATGTAAAACCATAAAGTACAGTTCTCTTTCAATTACCAAGATTTGTTCATAGTAATGGCTTTAGGTATATGTATATAGATGGAAACATTTTTCTTTTTTACCAAAGTTTGATTTCAGAACTTTAAAGTCTAACAATGTGAATACTATATTATACAAAAAGTAGTTTGCTATACTTTTATTCATTTTCTATTAATTCCTGTTATATTTTTTACTCTCAAATACTATTATGTAAAGATAATTGCCAAACAAGGTATATAATCCTTTTAAAAATATAATATATATATAATATATGTAATATTCAAGATAGGCACACCAATACATGAATCAATAATACTAGAATCACTTTTTATCCATTTTCAATTAATATTTCACTGTCACTTGTCAGAAGAAATAATCCAAAGCATCATCATGATTATATTGAAAAGTTATCTCATTTTGATCTCTGAAGCGCTGGGTTTGAATCCTAGGTTTGATTTTTAGTAATTTTGTGATCATACCCAAATTATTAGACCTCTTTAATCATAGTGTTCTATTTCTGAAATAGAAGTTAATGCCTTTTCTATTCTTTGTGTGTGAGAGAGGGAGAGACAGAACTAAAAATAAAGTGTACGAAAGCACTTTTAAAAAATAATGATCCACCATAATGTTGTTATTGCTATTATGACTAACATGATAATCATAATTTATGGTTACATTCTTGAACTCCTCTCAAAAGAAAATTAAAATTCAGAGCAAAACCTTTCCATATATTGCTGGTTTTAAATCTTATTCAATGGCAAAAGGTAGGAATAGCCAAATATTTTTATGTCCTGTTCCACAAAATTTCATTTAAAAGTATTAGAAATACCAATAAATAAAACACCCAAATTTTGGTAACATAACTGAAGATGAACAAATGCTACAATGACAAGTCAGTTACATGATTAATATAAAATTACAATCATATTAATATGCTTAAAAAAGTTATTGGAAGAATGATAGGATGACAAACAGCTGCCATATTCTTCTCATTATAGTTCAAAAAATAAGAGCTGAGAATATCATAGGCTTACTAAAATTGAGCTTGGCTAAAATATTTTGTCAGGTAATCTCCATTTTATTGCCCTTAATCTCCATTACATTTCTGGTTTAAAAAATGTGTAAAAATTAGTCTGCAGAATGAAAAACTCATAGACACAGGCCAAAACAAGACATATCCTGTCTTCACAGGGTGATGCTCATTGTCTCCTAATCATTTATTTGAAATGAGAGCGTAAAAATAACAATTACCACAATTTTTAAATTAATAAAGCATTTCTATATATTATTTTGACATAAATGAATCAATAAATTATAGACAAGAATCACCCTTCACATGTGACCAATAAGGTTTACAAAAATATCTTGGTACAAATTATAATCTGGATATTTTTGTTAACTAAAGGCTAGTTTAATATATAAAAATTATCTGAAAGTATAAACTTTGCTAAATACATAATGTAAATTTTCATATATTTATTCTATTCAATTGGCTAATGCCCACTCTAGGATTTTAAAAATTCTTTTAAAATTTTTGCCTTTAATATTTTTTTCACCTACTATTAAGATGACTCCAGATAAACAAGCAGATATAAGCAGAAATGTAACAGAACCTCATTAAATGAACAAATTTGAAAATCTTCAGAATTTTGTGGGTTTAGAAGCTGGGTGCAACAAGAGTTGATATTAAAGAAAATGGTTTTTGAAATTAAGATATACATATTTATTTGTGAAAGGACAAATAATATTAAATGCATGGCTATGTTTACCTCAGTTGTATAATACAAAATACTAATACCATACATGTAATTCTAATGGGTAACTTTCTAAACCTCAAATTACTACCCTGATGAATGTTTTACTTTGTACTATAAGCAGAAAAAAAATCTGTTAAGAAACTAACATTAAACACCTGTACAGAAAACATATCTGATTTTAAAAATCCATGTATTTGTAGCATATATATTTTGATTTTTTTTTTTTTTGAGACAGAGTCTCACTCTGTTGCCCAGGCTGGAGTACAGTGGTGCCATCTCAGCTCACTGCAACCTCTGCCTCCTGGGTTCACACCATTCTCCTGCCTCAGCCTCCCAAGTAGCTGGGACTACAGGCGCCCACCACCACACCCAGCTAATTTTTTGTATTTTTAGTAGAGACGGGGTTTCACCATGTTAGTCAGGATGGTCTTGATCTCCTGACCTTGTGATCCACCCGTCTTGGCCTCCCAAAGTGCTGGGATTACAGACATGAGCCACCATGCCCGGCTGATTTTTTTAAATTTCAAGTTTTATTTTAGGTTCAGGGGGTACACTTGCAGGTTTGTTACATGGGCATATTGCTTGATGGTGACATTTCAGGTATGAATGATCCTGTCACCCAGGTACTGAACATCGTACCTAATGGTAGTTTTTTCAGCACTTGCCCACCTCCTTCCCTCCCAACCCTCTCTAGTAGCTCCCTGTCTCTATTGTTCCCATCTTTATGTCCATGTGTACTCAATGTTTAGCTTCCATGTATAAGTGAGAACATGTGGTATTTGATTTTGTGTTTTGCTGTTAATTACCTTAAGACAGTGGCCTCCAGCTACATCCATGTCACTGCAAAGGATGTGATTTTGTTCTTTTTTATGGCTGCATAGTATTCTGTGGTATATATCACCACATTTTTTTATCCAGTCTACCATTAATGGGTATCTAGGTTGATTCTATGTATTTGTTGTTGTGAATAGTGCTGCAATGAACATACAATTGCATGTGTCTTTTTAGTAGAACAATTTATTTTCCTTTGGATATATATCCAGTAATGGGTTTGGTGGTTTGAATGGTATTTCTGTTCGAAGTTCTTTGAGAAATCTCTGAACTGCTTTCCATAGTGGCTGAATAAAGTTACATTCCCATCAGCAGTGTATAAGCATTCCCCTTTCTTGGCAACACAATTTTATAACAGATTTTTCCTCTGAAATATCTACTTGAAATTCCTGACAGTGTTTTCCTAAAACATTTTAACATAAATAAATGCATAAATATTTTTCTAATTATTTCATTTTAAATACAAATACTTACTAATTTCACTTTACATGGTAGAAAATGACTGGTTTTGTTAAATATTTTGAAATTAGACTTACATAAAAATGGAAGATCTTATATATAGTTATTTTTCACTGATTCAGTCTTCTTCCTTTCACATTGTTAAAATAATATGTTAAAAGTAAAATCACGAAATAGATATACTCATAAAACTTACTTGAATTTAAGTGACCATTTTATTTATGAAAGTCCTCTTTGCTAGTTTTCTCTTTTCTTGTCTGTTACATATAATGATTGAGTTACAGTTACACGCATAGCAACATTTTCCATTGTGCCCCTGTGTTAAGTATAGGCTTTTATTCTGTTTCTATTCTGCACTAAAGAGTCAGTAGCAAACAAGTTTATAAACATTTCAGAGCTGGATGCATAATCAAAACTCATAATCCACTCCAACACCCACTTTTTTAAAATCAAGACCCACCTAATTTTCTTTTCCCTCTGGTCTAATTTTTACAAAAATTTCATTTTGTAATTATTTATAATAATTTATATCTGCAATTTCTGCTTTGATAAAACTGGTATGTCAGGAGCCTCCATCCATGATATATTGTATCTTTGCTTATCAGTTAAAGGAGTCCAGAAAATAACTCTCCCCTTCCTATGTACCATATTTATGGTTTCACACTTGATTTTTCCTACAAAGTTGGAGGGTATTTCTTAAAGTTCTATATGTGATTATCTAACCTTGCTTGGACAGAGAAAGAGTAAATCAGGTGTTAGCTTGTACTTTAGGGATTGTCTTAGGCAGAATATTGACTCCTTCTGCTTCCCTAACACTTATTAACGAGTCAATTTAGCTATTCCTAATGTGTGCATGCGTGTGTGTATTTCAGAACAATGTATTATATATACAATTTATATTTGTCAATTAAAAAATGAGAATATTAAAAATAGTGAATTAGAGAAAATATTGTGCAAATTCCAGCAAAATTCCTACAGATAAGTTTTTAAATGAACATTTAATTTGATTACCTGTATAATGACTCCATTACACTATTAAAAAATAGCTTTATGTGTAAAATTTCTATGTATTTTTTAAACAGCTATATTGAGATATAATTCACGAACTATACACTTTACCATTTAAAGTTTGCAATTCAGTGATTTTAGTATATTTAGAAATTTGTGCAACCATCATCACAAATCTAATTTTAGAATTTTTTTTTTAACCAGGAAAAGAATCTATTAGCATTCAGTTCCCATCTCCCCATCTGCTCTAGGTGATCAATAATGTATTTTGTGTCTATGCATTTGCCTTTTCTGTATATTTCTTATAAATGGTAATGACCAATATGTTGTCTTTGTGACTGTCTTGTTTTTAGCATAATTTTTTAAGGTTAGTCCATTTAGTGGCATGCGTCAGTATGTCATTCCTTTGTATCGCCATCTAATCTTTCATTGTACAGATGTAACATATTTCATTTATCCATTCCTCAGTTGATAGACATTTGGATTATTTCCATTTTTAAATTTTTATTAATGCTACTGTAACATTTTTGGACAACTTTTCTGTAGATACATATTTTCAATTTTCTTCAGAACATGGAAGAATTGGAATTGATGGGTCATATGATAAATTTATATTTAACATTTTGAGGACTTGCCAAAATAGTTTCCAAAATTGCTGGATGATTTTACATTTTCACTAGCAACATATTAGGGTTCCCATTTCTCTACAACTTAATGGAAAATTATTGTCTATATTTTTATTATATTTGATCTAGTGGTTGTAAAGTGGTAGCGTTTTCAAGTTTAGACTTGTATTTTTTTTTAAATGACTAATGATGTCAAGTATATTTTTGTGTGCTTACAGGCCACTGCTGTCTTCTTTGAAGAGGTAACTACTTAAATGCTTTGCTCATATTTTAATGTGTTTATTTCTGTATTGTTATTGAATTGTAAGTGTTCTTTATAAATTCTGGCTAAAAGTACCTTACCAGATACATGATTAACAAGTGTTTTCTTACATTGTATATAACAATATGATTTGCAACAAAAAATAAACTGATTTGCAACAAAAAATAAACTTAATTTTGTCAGGCATATTTTGATGTGCATTCATTTATTCATTCACTTGTTTTTTTGTGTGTTTATCATATCATTTGTACTTTTGATTTTACAGGTATACCTCAAAGATATTGTGGGTTCTATTTCAGATCATCACAATAAAACAAATGTCACAATAAAGTTAGCCATTAAGATTTTGGTTTTCTAGTACATATACAAGATATGGCTACACTATACTGTCAACTATCACAGCAGCAGAGATCAGAGTTACTGGTGGCCTGCCCCTCTCAGAATGAAACTGTAGTCCTAGAATAGGAGTTGGGGGGTGAAGGAACTTCTTTGCTTTGGAGCTTCTGAGCTTTTGTGACGCTTTGTTGGGTGGGAATGAGGGAGGAATTAAGGGAACAATCAAGACTCAAATACCACAGACTCTTGTCTCTGATTACCATAAGGTTCTAATAGGTGTTTCTCCCTTTTTTGTATGCCATTTAAGACAATGTCAAAGACTTTATTTTTTTCTTTTTTTATAAATAACTTTCAGCAGTTAAATTTATGTTCCTCTGGTGAGAGGACATGCTGAGCAACTCTTACCACCATTTTGGAAATCTTTTCTAGCCCAATCAACATAGCGAGACCCCCATTTCTACAGAAAAATAAGAAAAAAAATAGCCATGTGTGGTGGCACGGGCCTGTAATCCTAGCTACTCTGTAGGCTGAGGCAGGAGCATCACTTGAGTCCAAGAGTTCGAGGCTGCTGTGAGCTATGATTGTGCCACTGAACTCTAGCCTAGGTGACTAAGAATCTGTTTCAAAGTAATTTGTTTTTAAAGTTTGTATTTTTTTCCATTTTGCTAGTTGTATTCCAAATAAAATAGTTTTTGAACCAATAAAGATAAGTTCACTCTTTATCATTGTCATAGTCCTCTTCTCTCCATCCCTTCATCTGAGCTGGGCCTATTGAACGCTCACTCTGATAAATGGCAATGGTTAGAGTTGAAATATAAGAGGGCTGAGGCCTCTCCCTAAGGGGCTTGGAGATTTTCCAGTTAGGCTTGTTTTTGTCTTTTTAAGGACACATGAACAGATTATACAACTTTTTTTGTGAATAGTATTTATTAGAAGAGGTCATTGGTACGATATTTCTTTTAGTCGTTTCACGCAAATTATTTTATCTTATTTTCCCTAATAAAGTTTAATTGCTGATACAATTTGTCCATGAAGATTGGCTAGGGGTAACTAAAATTCACTTTACCTACAAATTAAATTAGCACATAAGTTATTCTTTAAAACCTACTAGAAATGTCTCCCTAAATAATGTATTTGTTCCTATTGTTCTCTTATTCAAAAGAATCATGCTGTTCTAAAATAATTATACTTATACCCTAATTTCTACCTTAATTATCCGAACTATTTATTTATTTATTTATTTATTATTTGAGACCAAGTCTCGCTCTGTCGCCCAGACTGGAGTGCAGTGGCGCGATCTCTGCTGACTGCAAGCTCTGCCTCCCGGGTTCATGCCATTCTCCTGCCTCAGCCTCCGGAGTGGCTGGGACTACAGGCGCCCGCCAGCCCTCCCGGGTAATTTTTTGTATTTTTTTTTTTTTTTAGTAGAGACGGGGTTTCACCGTGTTAGCTAGGATGGTCTCTATCTCCTGACCTGCTGATCCGCCCGCCTCGGCCTTCCAAAGTGCTGGGATTACAGGCTTGAGCCACCGCGCCTGGCCCGAACTTATTTCTACCATGGCATCTATCTTTCACCAAAGTTATACTGAAATACCATCCAAAAATGTGTTTATTTTTATTTCTATATTTATGATCTTTAGACACACTAATGTCTAATTCGAAAGATTTGGCTTATTGTAGTTCCACTATTTTAGCACAAAGTTAATTTAAATATTTGAAACAAATAGGACATAAAATGGTGAAAATTGTACTGCTGCTCACATTATTAAATGTTTTAACTATTAGAATATTCTTTTGCTGTCATTTTGAACAGTACTAGAATTCAATACAAGTTTATCAGATATTTAGAATCATCCCAGCATATTACATATGGTGTTGCTAAAATGTGGACTTAAACCTATTGCAGCAGCTCAGAGCATGCTCACAAACCAATATGTAAATAAAGAAAACGTAACTAGCAAATGGAATTCTCTGATTCTGTTCAGTTTGAGAAGGAAATATGCAATGGGAGGGATACATCAAGTACACTGATTTTCTCTACAGATTACCTATTTTTCCAAAAATGTAATCAGTTTTTATTTATCTATGCTTCAAAAAATAGCACTAAGATGGATAATTGCAATCCAGGATTCAGGCAAATTAAAACTGTATTTCATTCATAATTATTAAGTTACATGTAAGTCCCATACATGTAATTGTATAACACAAAGATCATACAATAGCTCTGACTTCAAAAAAAGGCTGCCACCTCAGCTTATTATTCTCATATCAAGGCCTTTATATTGATGTTCTTTCTCAGTTCTTGTGCGTTTCCCTGAACTAGGTTTTCAGGATAACAAAATCTGTTGTTTTTCTTCTAAATTACATTTTTACTAGTGTTCAGTTTAATCTAATTGCACCTTCTCCTTAAAAAAAGTAAAAAAAAAAATTGAGGTACTAGCAGGATGTTTAGATATTTATAGCTTGTTTTATTTGAAAAATCTTGGATAAACAACAACTTTTTTGTTGTTTCTGGTGTTTGTTTTGTGTTATCATCTCAGTGACACTGAGGCCTCTTTTTCTGGCCATGGGGGGAAGATCTCTCAAAGAGCTAAATAATATAGAATCTATTTAACAATATAATTTAGTTTATTTTTAATTTCTGAAAAATCTACTTTGGGGAATACTGCCCTTGACATAACTGGAACCTGCCCCACCAACCTTGTTGTCTTTCTATTTTCCTTATATTCCTATTATTTCTCCCTAGTACAGTAGACAGGAAGGGCAATCAAATGCAAAATAGCAATGTGAAAGATACACAAAATGATTTTTCTCATTCAATCTTATTTTGGTTGTTCCTAAATGGTACTATGTAATAGCAATAATTATCACATGGTGTGTTTACTATGTGTCAGTGTGTGTACTAAGCACTATGAATAGATTATTGCACTGATTCCTATACTCACCTTATGTTGTAATTACTATCATTCTCAGTTTGCAGTTGATGAAACTGACATACAGAGAGTATAGGTGACTTTTCTGCCTATATTGTGAATATGAAAATGTATAGGGACAAGTACACATACATCAAGAAGACTGAATGCAAATAAAAGTTTGTTGAATAACACAAGGAAAGGCTGTTAATTTGTAACATTATTTAATTATTCATGTCTTATGGTATGCCAGAGGACAAAATCAAATTAAGAGAACTTTATTTGGGTTTAGATTTCAATTTAATTTTCTATCCATTATTACAAGTATATCCACAAGGATTCAATGTGCCTAACAGAAGCTTGGTGGTCACTGGGAAAAGAGCCCCCCATAGTAATATTTTTTTCCTGTCTTTTTCCTGCCTTTAATATATCCTCCCATTTGCTCATATTGCCTTTTCTAAATACATCTGAAACACGGTATGTTTTACTGTAGTCTTCTGGTATTCAGATTGGAAATACACACACACATGTATGCGTGCTCGCTCGCACTCTCTTTCATACGTTCTTCAATCAAAAACTTTTAAAACAACAAAGAATGGCTAAGCAGATAATCCATTTGCAGGCCATCTTTAAAAGCTATTATTTCAGTTCTTGCTTTTTCATTCACTGTGTCCTTGTGACAAACATATTTTCAAGTACATTCCTAAAGTAACAAACATAAGGCTAAATGAAAAGCCTAGAATAAACTCAGAAATGAAGAGAATAAAAAAGATCTCTATTTCTGGTATTGTTCTCTCAATGCCAGGTCTCATGGAAGAACAATATAAGGTGATAAAGTAAAAAATAAACAAATAGTTCATAGGGTGATTTTATGTTTTAAAATATGTATTTCAAAGCAGATTCATTATTGTTTTAACTAAGGCCTGAGTAAACTGGAGACAGGGGCAAATGAATAAGCTGTATCGGTCCATGATAATCATCTTTCTTATCACTCTCTCTTGCTCACTCGGGTCCAACCATATAGTCCCTTTCAGGTTCATGAATACAACATATGCTCACTTGACTCAAGGATTGTTTATGTGTCTTTCCTTCCAGATATCAATTTTCTCATTATCTCACTTCCTTCAGATCACTTCTCAATGTCAATTTATTTGAGAAGTTTCCTCTGATAACTTTCTATCAGATAGGACCCATTCCTATACCTAATCTTTTACCCTGCTGTATTTTCTCAGTAACATCTTTTTATTCCTAATATATAAATATTCATTGTTTTGCCTACTATTTGTTGCTCTAGCAGAGTGAAACCCTAACAGGCATTGTTTTATCTTCTGTTACACCTCCAATACAGAGAACATTGCCTAGTATATGACAAGAACTCATAATTATTTGAAGAGAGAATAAAGTAAATAGGGGAGAAAACATATTCTCTTTCAATGATCTCACTATGCATTCTAACCTAATTACCAGACACCTTGGCAAATTTGTAAACCACAGAAGAAAATAGAAGGATTAGAATGCATTACATTTCTTTATGTTTCCTGTCTCACTTTGGCTAGAATCACTCCAAATTATTTTTGTCCATAGCCTATACACAATTATTTCTTTAAAATTGGGTGTTCAGTCACTAATATTGTTCTATATTGGAAAGAAAATAATTCAAAATAGTATCAGAATAAAATTTGACCAAGGTTATCTTTAGGCTTTACAATTAAATAGTTTGTGACTCTCTTTATTTTGCTTATTTTGGAAAAAAATGGGCCTTTATAAAACCTGTATAATACATTAAAGACCATACATTTGTGATTTTAGATTGCTTATAATTTCCCCTACAATTTACTCTATAAAAAAGATTATTTAAAAGAAAGAAAAGCAAAAGATACTCAGATTGTTGTTGGTTTTTTTTCCTCCTCAGCTGGTTTTGGCTGCTCAATTTTAACACTCCCCAGAGAGCTCTCAGACATTTATGTGATTTAATGGCCTACTATTATTAAGTCAGAAATATTTTATTTTACATTGAGATTGCCATAACCATTGCATTAACATTTGAGTAATAGGCAATAACACTGAGAATGTATCAATGTATCATTTAGTGAATTAATCTGTATTCCCTTCCTAGGACTTGCTTATTGATGATGCAGGATAAATGTAATAGTAACAATAAGTCATCAAACATTCTGGCAGACCTGTCAGGAAGAGGAGATGGGGGTGCATGGAAGTGAGCTTGTTGAGAGACAGTTCAATGCAGAAGAAATGACATATGTCATATTTTCCCCACAGTGAAATGATAGAGTACATGGGGATAGCTTAGTGATCAGCAATGTGTGCAAGTTTTGTTTGCCTAGAGCCTGTGGTTGTGTTTCTGGTTACCCTATGTAGCAAAATAATAATGAGTTAATTGAAATAGCAATCAAATTCTGTAGGAAATAAATCATCTAGAATAAAAGAAAAAATGAAAAAATTAGAAATCACATTTAACTGTAAATAATATCTCCTAGCTGTCTATCAGTCCACAAATTAGGGTGACGTATATTCAAGGCAGAAAAAAAAATAGATTTGTTGTGCATGTACAGGAAGAAAATATTAGAACTTCCATTTATATGCATATTTATCTAAACATAAGAAAACATGGACTCATTTTCATTAAAGTGTGTAATATTCAGATTGATATGTATGTGTTCATGGTATGCTGTGTACAAGTTATCCTGAAGAAGAATAGGAGGTCCTATAATAGGCAAGTTTGCCAATGGCTGCCAGACTCCTTTGTGGAGCTCAGACTGTTAATTTCAGTATACTGTGATGTTGAGCATATCCAATTAAGTTGATTTAAGAATATTTTCTGGGTTTAGTAAAATGTGTCCTATAAAACTGACAAGTGAAAAAAAAAAAACAAAACTCAAACCAACATGAACAAACTGTGGAATAAAATGAGAGTAATAAGAACAAAGTATAAAAGAAAATAGCATCACTGATATTTTTCAGAGTATAACTATCTAAACCATATTATGAAGAATAGTAGTCTAATATGATGAACACCAACCCCCAAAAGCTCAAAATCACAACAATTTAAAATATTAATATTTACCTGGTTTCATTAATGATAAATCAGAACTTACACACTGTGTTTTAAGATGTGAATGGCTGTATAAAGCCGTGAAAATAAATAAGACATTCCAAAATTAAGCATCTTGACAATGAAGAGAACCAAAATTTTTGAGAAACATCTCAGGTCATGCAACTCCCAGTCCAGTATTTCATGCAAGGTCACCAAACAACCCTAAAGAGTTAGAATTTTATTGGAAAAATTCTCACTTAAATAGCAAAAGGCCTAAATCCACAAACAATTACATAAATATCCTTTTTTTTTTTTGCTATGGTAAAAGTGGTTTAAACACTATCAAGAAAAGAAAAACAGAATTAGAAGTCTCTTGTCTGCGAACACAAAAATAATGTATAAAAATTGTTGGAAATTTACAAAGCAAGCATTAAAACACATTTATTGTGTGAAACACTTTTTTCTTTGAATTTAAAGTACATATGCTGCTTCTGTCATAATATAGAGAAAACCATTGAATGAAAGATGCAGTGGAGAAGATAAATTATAAAAGATTGCCCACAGGAGAAATAATGTACAACTTAAAAGCACTTACTTCATTAATGATAAGCAAGGTAAACAAGGTACTGCAGCAAAAAAGGTTAATAACTGGAAGCATCACTGGCAATACGTGGTTTCAATACTTGTGTTGTTGGTGAAGAGACCCGCTATACCAGAAGATTGTGCAGAAATCCGTGTAAGAGAGGTTCAAGCATTGGGCCCGGATTTAACAAACGTAATGGAAGAGGTCAAGTTTCAGAGATATTAGAGAAGCAAGGCTCAAAAAATGTGCTGGCAGATAGTATGTGGAATATGTGGAAAATATTGAAATTGAAGATGATACTTAGATTAAAATTTTGTCAAGTGCAACTGAATGGATGATGATACCATAGTTGCTTTCGGTTAAGAGCATCAAATCAAACATACTAAAACTATGCTCTATTATATGCATGATGAAGTCTGGAGAGTGTTCTGGAAAATCCAGCAAAGTTTAAATAAATATTCTTTCATAGTCTATACATTTTTCTATTTAAGTTCATTTGGCTAAAAAAAAATAAGTCTAGGTTATACCTATTAAGTGTCTACCCTTATTAGCTGAGGGGAAGAGACACTATCAGTTGGTATTCTCCTATATTTATGAGGCAGCTCCTGTAAAACAAACCACTGATCTTTTATGGATCTTCTTGGGGTTACTAGTGAGCAGAGTAGATTTTGTTCACCAAAAATTCTCAGAAGAAATCTAACAGTACCTTAATAAAGCTGACTTCCAAGGTCACCACTAAATTAAAGCTAAAAATTAACTCTGTTCTATTTTTATCCCAACTTACTTCCAACCATATTCAGAACCTGGCCTCAAAAAACATTCTCAAGGAGATAAAATGACATTATAAAAATATTCTCATAATGAAAAACTTCAACAATACAGATGACCAAATTTGAATATAAACCCATGTATATTATCAAAATAAGAGATAGATATTTTAAGTCCAAGAGATATATCCTTTTGCAAGTTAAAGAACCAAAACAGTAACATCCAAAAAAAAAATTAATCTACCGTAAGTTAGAATTTGCTTCTCTGTGGAAAGACTTAATTCTACAATAATGCTAGTCCTCATACCTTAATGTAAAATTTAGTGCAATTCAAATTATAATCCCAATGAGTTTATTCTTTTTAAAAGGAGATTGGCTAATATGATTTTAAGTGATATGAAAAAAATATCCGGAAAATAGATAAGAAAAATATAAATAACAACAGAAAAAAAAAAAAAAAACAGGAGAGCACTGGCCTTAACACATATCTAAACAAGCAAAAATTTGTATGAATAGACAAATGTACACTTTTATAGCATTGAGAATCCAGATATAGGTAGTGTCAAGTGGAAATAATTAGGAATATTTAATAAATAAAGACAAAATTTATCTTCCAACAAAAAAATTAAAAATGAATGCATAAACAAATAGCATCAATTTTATAAAATAAAATTAATTACAAAATTTATGAAAAGTAAACTACACTAGAAAATACTGATGTTTGATCAACGTATGTAAAATAAACTATAAAATAGTGGTATATTTTTGAGCAATTTATTACAAACTATAAAAATTTTAATTATAGAGAAAAAATTATTTTCAATATTTTTGAAGATGTTATAAGTTCCTAGGATTTCCAAACAAAAAAAAACAACAAAAATGAAATCTATTTATTTGTGGGAAATATATAATCAAGATAGAGACACTGTTGTCAAGATAACAATATACCAACTCTGATTCCAGGGAAGATGGAATAATGACATTCCACTCTACTATTTCTCACTGAATATAGCTATAGAAAGCCTGCAGCTGCTGTATGAGGACTGACTCAAGCAAACAGTAGCAGGTAAAATGGGTAGAAGACCCAAATGCCAGTGAATTTACCATTTTTTCCCCTCAAATATCCATAGTCTGAACGCAACGCTTCAGAACTGGCCACAGATGGAGTTAGAGAGTGATGGGAGAACTCTGGTTCTGACTCAAAGAGTGGGAAAGGAGACTCCCAATGCCTAAAGAGAATACCAGATTCCTTCCCCATCCCAGCCTCCCTGTGCCACATCCCTTTTTTTGTTGTTTTTGTTTTTCTCTCTTTTTCTTTGTACCAGCCTTAAGCAATTCCGTCATGCTGGTGGTGATAGCCGATGGTGACAAAAGCTTATAGTAGTCAAAATTATGAGGGAGGGGAACTTTCCTTTCTGTTTGCTACAGTCATTTTTCCAGGGGGTAGGGGCGACTCCTATTGTTTTTGTTTTATATTGCCTTTTCTTTTGCTTCTTGCATCAGATGGGGATGCAGTCATGGAAGTGAAGAGCAGAGTATTAAACCCCAACTTCCTGGCAAGAGGTCTAAGTGGAAAGGGAACTGGAGTGCACAGGGGAGATGGCAGAGGGAGGAGCTAAGCAAAGTGACCCCATCACATTTTTAATAAACTCCTAAATCACCCCTGTGTTGCACAGATGTGGATCTGATTTTATTCAGCATACCAAAGACAAAGAAAATATAGTAATAGACCACCAACCACATCACAGATTGACCATTGATGGCAAACACTTAGGATAAATACAAATACAAACAGAACAAAGGTTTGAAAACAGAATGGACATTGGAGACAAGGCTCAGGGAAGACATTGGAATTTGTGACCTGAAACTAAACAAATCAACTGCTTGCTAAAATAAAATGCATATATCCTCAATAGGATTTAAATAAGATCCAGCGTCTCATATTTATTATTTAAAATGCCTAGGGTATAATCTAAAATTATTCAACATATGAAGAACCAGAAAAATATCAACTGATATGGGAAAAGCCAATCAATAGATGCCCATGTTTAAATGTCGAATTTATCTGACAAACACTTTAAAGTAGCTATTTTTAAATGCCCTTGTAAATAATTGAGAACACTACTGAAGTCAATGGAAAAATACAAAGTCTCAGCAAATAGATAAAATATATAAAGAAGAATTGAATGAAAATTTTACAATTGAAAATTGAAATAACTGAAGTGAAAGTTTTCATTGGGTGGGTTCAATTCAGAATGAAGATGACAGAAAAGAAAAGTCAGTGAACTTGACAGCAGATCAATGAAGATTATCCATCTAAATAGAGAATTGGTGAAAAAAGTGAAGAGAGCCTCAGACCTGTTAGACAATAAAATTTCTAGCATTTGAGACATCCCTGTACCAAGAAAAGAGATGAAAGAATGCAGTACTGAAACAAACAAAACAAAAACCTTGAAGAAATTGTGGCTGAATATGACCCCACTGTGCTAAAACACATAAATCCATAGATTCAATAAATACAGTGAAATCTATACATTCAAAACAAAACCCTTCAGACACATCAGAAGGAAGCTGCTGAAAGCTAAAGACAAAAAGGATAATATAGCTTGAGACATTTATACTGTAGCTCTTGCTGTTGGACTCCCACATAATATATCTAGGCTCTAATCTATTCCAATCTGCCAGAAAGGCTTTGAAATAATTTTCTTATTCTTCTTCATTAATTCCAGATGAATTATCCTGGTGTTTGTTTTAAAAGAATGTTGTGTTGTAGCTTCTGCCTTTTTGTTAAATTGAAATATGTGAAAATAAAATTAAACGCCCACTGAGGTCATCATACTCTACTTATCCAAGGTGATTTTCCTTTAACTGTTTTATGACCTAGCAGAAAAATATTAACATACTGTAATTTTTATATATTTGAATTATTTGTAAATGCAGTGTTCTGATGTAATGCATAAGACTGAGATATTTTATAAGTCATATACATATTATTGTGAATGACATCCATCATTGAAATTATTCTAAAAACAATATTTTAATGAAATTACTCTAAAAGCAATTTGCATTGATTCAGAAAGGTCTTCAAAATAGAAGTCACTGTAGACCATAGCTATATTTGAGCTAGATTCATAAAAATACAAGCAATAGAAAGTTAAAGTTAATAGAGTGCTACTTCAAAACAGTATACATGGATATAAGAGTACACATTGTAAATGGAAACTTTTTTCTTTTTATTACGTAGTGACTTAGTCAAACTCTAATATCCTATCTTTTTCTGATTTTTCAGGCATTTCCCCCAATACAATATAAATTCTACTGTATCAGACTCAATTCTTAGTAAAGCTTAATCTCATTGAAAATATTAAGAGGATTTAAAATAAATCTTAAGGTAGGAAGCTTAAAAGTGCTTTATATCTATAAAGTCATATCTATAAAGTCACCTAAGAACTTCAAAGTTTCTAAGAAGGCTTGCTAAAAGAAGTCTTTAAAACATATGCCGAGATAACATAGCATTTATTTTGATACACAGATTTACTTTTATCTCTTAGAACTTTTTCAAATCACCTGAGCAGTTGAGTATTGCTCTTTTATAACTAATCCCTTCCCGCACCCACACACCCTGATGTATATACAGACCAGTGCACACATAGAAAACAACTGGCTTGTGTATTGATTTAATGATGAGATATTTTGGGGGATAAAACAGGTATGGTTAAACACATCTACTAAGACCACTAATATTCCGACTCTATTTCATTTTGAATAAAGTGAAGAAGATCCTAGTTAAAGTGTAAGAACAAGTAGGAAATTCAATTTACACAGGATGGAGTGGAAGAGGTAATTGTACTTGAATGGAATAGAATGTTAATTATGAAAAGAAAAATTACTGCATTTTGAATGATAAATAACTTTCTAAATTTCAGTACAATAAAAAATTGATAGACACAGAACTGCAAATGTTAGATTCCAAAGTTATTGTGGAAAGATTAATTTGGTTACACATCTTTTAAAACAAGACCATAGTAAAATGTGGAATTCAGTATAGATTTTCATATTCTAAGGAGCTTCCCAATTTATTACTGTTCAAAATAGTGGAAAGTTATGTAGGGCTGTTAATAAGTGGATGTTTGGTGCCTTGCGGAATAATGTTTCTTCTAATATTTATTTTCATATGAAATCAAAGACACTGGTAATTTAAAATGATACACAAAAGGAAACAGCACATTTTTACAGCATAAAGTAACATTTTGATAAAAGTATTAATATGGCTCCATTTTCACTTTTGAAAAATAAACATGAATTTACACATTTTTAAATAAACCATGCTCATAATGTTCAAACATATCACTTGAATTAGTTCAAGCAAAATAACTGCCATTGAAATCCTTATACAAATACCAGTGATATTTTTCACAGAAAGAGAAAAAATAATCCTAAAATTTTATGGAAGCACAAAAGACCCAGAATAGCCAAAGCCATCCTGAGCAAAAAGAACAAAACTGGAGATATCTCATTACCTGACTTCAAATTATGCTATAGAGCTATTGTAACCAAAATAGCATGGTACCGGCATAAAAACAAACATAGACCAATGGAATAGAATAGAGAACACAGAATTAAATCCATACATCTATAATAAACTCATTTTCAACAAAGATGCCAAAAATATACACTGGGGAAAGAACAGTATCTTCAATAAGTGGTGCTAGGAAAATTGGACATCCATTTTCAGAAGAATGAAACTAGATCCCCATCTCTCACCATAATCAAAAAGTAAATAAAAATAAATTAATAACTTAAGTCATAAAGCTACTAAAATAAAACATTGGGGAAACACTCCAGGACATTGTCTGGGCAAAGATTTATTGAGTATTATCCCATAAGCCCAGGCAACCAAAGCAAAATGTAAAAGTGGGATAATATCAAGCTAAAAGCTTCTGTACAGCAAAGGAAACAATCAACTAAGTGAAGAAACAATACACAGAATGGAAAAAAGTATTTGCAAACTACCCATCTGACAAGGAATTAATATCCAGAATATATAAGGAGCTCAAATAACAGGAAAAAATCAAATAATCAAATTAAAAATTAGGCAGATGATCTGAACAGACATTTCTAAAAACAAGACATATAAATGGCCAACAGGTGTATAAAAAATGTTCAACATCATCAGAGAAATGTAAATCAAAACCACAATGAGATATTATCTCACCTCAGTTAAAATTGCTTTTATCCAAAAGACAGGCAATAACAAATGCTGATGAGGATGTGAGGAAAGGGTAACCCACAAGCACTCTCAGGAGGAATATGAATTAGTACAGCCACTGTGGATAACAATCTGCAAGTTCCTCAAGAAAGTAAAAATAAATCTACCATATGATCCAGCAATCCTGTGCTGGATAAATATTAAAAGGAAAAAAATCAATATATCAGAGTGATATCTGCATTCCCGTGCTGCTTGCAGCACTAATGACAATAACCAAGATTTGGAAGCAACCTGCATGTCCATCAACAGATGAGTGGATAGAGAAAAGGTGGCACATATACACACTGAAGTACTATTCAGTCATAAAAAAGAATGCGGTCCTATCATTGGCAACAACATGAATGAAACTAGAGGTCATAATGTTAAATGAAATAAGCCAGGAACAGAAAGACAAACTTCTTTTTTTTTTTCTTTTTTTTTTTTAATTAAAGTTTTAGGGTACATGTGCACATTGTGCAGGTTAGTTACATATGTATACATGTGCCATGCTGGTGTGCTGCACCCACTAACTCGTCATCTAGCATTAGGTATATCTCCCAATGCTATCCCTCCCGCCTCCCCCCTCCCCACCACAGTCCCCAGAGTGTGATATTCCCCTTCCTGTGTCCATGCGATCTCATTGTTCAATTCCCACCTATGAGTGAGAATATGCGGTGTTTGGTTTTTTGTTCTTGCGATAGTTTACTGAGAATGATGGTTTCCAATTTCATCCATGTCCCTACAAAGGACATGAACTCATCATTTTTTATGGCTGCATAGTATTCCATGGTGTATATGTGCCACATTTTCTTAATCCAGTCTATCATTGTTGGACATTTGGGTTGGTTCCAAGTCTTTGCTATTGTGAATAGTGCCGCAATAAACATACGTGTGCATGTGTCTTTATAGCAGCATGATTTATAGTCATTTGGGTATATACCCAGTAATGGGATGGCTGGGTCAAATGGTATTTCTAGTTCTAGATCCCTGAGGAATCGCCACACTGACTTCCACAATGGTTGAACTAGTTTACAGTCCCATCAACAGTGTAAAAGTGTTCCTATTTCTCCACATCCTCTCCAGCACCTGTTGTTTCCTGACTTTTTAATGATTGCCATTCTAACTGGTGTGAGATGATATCTCATAGTGGTTTTGATTTGCATTTCTCTGATGGCCAGTGATGATGAGCATTTTTTCATGTGTTTTTTGGCCGCATAAATGTCTTCTTTTGAGAAGTGTCTGTTCATGTCCTTCGCCCACTTTTTGATGGGGTTGTTTGTTTTTTTCTTGTAAATTTGTTTGAGTTCATTGTAGATTCTGGATATTAGCCCTTTGTCAGATGAGTAGGTTGTGAAAATTTTCTCCCATGTTGTAGGTTGCCTGTTCACTCTGATGGTAGTTTCTTTTGCTGTGCAGAAGCTCTTTAGTTTAATTAGATCCCATTTGTCAATTTTGGCTTTTGTTGCCATTGCTTTTGGTGTTTTGGACATGAAGTCCTTGCCCACGCCTATGTCCTGAATGGTAATGCCTAGGTTTTCTTCTAGGGTTTTTATGGTTTTAGGTCTAACATTTAAGTCTCTAATCCATCTTGAATTGATTTTTGTATAAGGTGTAAGGAAGGGATCCAGTTTCAGCTTTCTACATATGGCTAGCCAGTTTTCCCAGCACCATTTATTAAATAGGGAATCCTTTCCCCATTGCTTGTTTTTCTCAAGTTTGTCAAAGATCAGATAGTTGTAGGTAAGCGGCGTTATTTCTGAGGGCTCTGTTCTGTTCCATTGATCTATATCTCTGTTTTGGTACCAGTACCATGCTGTTTTGGTTACTGTAGCCTTGTAGTATAGTTTGAAGTCAGGTAGTGTGATACCTCCAGCTTTGTTCTTTTGGCTTAGGACTGACTTGGCGAAGACAAACTTCACATGTTCTCACTTACTGTATGAGGTAAAAATGAAAACAATTGAATTCATGGAGATAGTGAGTAGAATGATGGTTACTAGAGGCTGGAAAGGGTTGCAGGGAAGGAGAAAAGTAAAGATGGTTAATGAGTTCAAAAATATAGTTAAAATGAAAAAGATCTAGTATTGATAGCATGATCAGGTGACTGTAGTCAACAAGAAATTATTGTACATTTTATAAAAACTAAAAAAGTGGAATTGGAATGTACCTAACACAAAGAAATGATAAATGTTTTAGACAACAGATACTCCCTTTACTCTGTTGTGACTATTGCAAATTGTATACCTATGTCAAAACATTACGTGTACCCTGTAAATATATACATCTAATATATACCCATAAAAATTTAAATAAAGTTTTAAATAACTTTTAGGTTAAAAATGCGAAGATATTAACATGGATATCATTTTCCAGTTAGTGACAGAAAAAAAATTGTTGGAATTTAAAAGTGGGGGGAAAAATCCACTGACAATAGACAAAGCAAGGGAAGAAGAGTTGAATTAGAGGAGAAAGCAGCACTTTCCATTCAAAGTAATTTGATCCAAAATTTCCACAATTTCCCTGTGATATAGGTAATCTTCTGAGAAAATCTGCATTGTATATTGTGGGATACAGGATTCCTGTGAAGTTTTGATTATTGACGTATTTAACATTTGTATATTCTATCGTGCATGGTAGTTTAATCTCAAAAGAGAAAAACTGTTTCCCTTTAAAAGTTGATGTAGTATATGTCACAAGCTGTGGGGAAGGGGGAGAGCTATGTAATCCAACCAACAAATAATTTCAAAGGTTAGGAAAATGTCTTTCTTGCATTGGTTAAAAACTAATAAAACTCCTATCAGACATTATGAGAGCAAGATTGTCTGGTTCTAGTACCTACAGAGAAATTTTGCGGTGGAATATAAATGAATCCAAACAGGTATGCCACTGCAGGAGATACAATGGAATGTATACTCAGAGTTTCTCAAAACACAAATCTACCATATGTTTAAGGCTGAAAGTTAAAGTAAAATTTTCTGGTTTTTGACCATTTGAAATTAACTAAAATTGGTAAAGCATTTGTGAAATGACATAATTGTGAAATCTCCCATAAAAGTATTTTTTAAATTTTGGGGAAAAAGAAAAATTGATACAAGTAGGAAAACCCTGCATGTGGAAATGCAAGCTGGAGGGGAGTACAGAAGAAAAAATAAATAAACTTTTGTTACTTCTGAATATCTGATAATTTCCAGATCTACGCAAGATGATTAAGAATGATTACAGAAATTTAAATATTTTCATAAAGATTTAAAATGACAAATCCTAGATGGTAGACATTACTGAGGTCTTGTGTCTCTTCCTTTATACATATACCTATTGAAGTAAGTTGAGACTTTGGTCAATGAAAAGTGAAAGGAACTGGTGTTGGTCATTTCAGGATAGAAGCATTAAAGAGTCATTGCTCCACCCATGTCCTCTTCTTCCCTCCTGGTGGTAACAAATGAAGTTGCAATAAACTGAAACAGCTGGAAATACAGAGTGAGTCATTAGGTAGGGAAAAAAACTGCTTCAGAGATTCCTGCAGTTTTGCAGCAAATTTTCTGTAACCCAGAACCAAATGTCTTCGGTGTTAATCTTCTAAGATTTTGTCTTTGTGCACCACAGTATAACATATCCTATCCTGAGAGAGACATTGAATAAATTTAAAAAAAATGGTTGATGTGTTTTTATACTTGAATGCAAATTTAGATAGTAAAATTGCCACTTAAGAATTACAACATTAAATAGATGAAATGTTGTATTTCAGATGAAAAATTTATCTGTTTAGAAAATTATACACAAAGCCAAGATTATTGGTTTGTTTTGTTTGTTTGTTTTTCAAAATCTTCTTTGGCTCCATAGGACTGATCAGTAAAAATGATAAATCTTCACATGGAATTTAAGACCTAACTCGACATATCTTTCAATTTCTATCTGATACTAGTGGGAATGTACTCCTAATTTTCATGTGCTTGAAAATTCAACCAAAAGTACAGAATAATGAAAAATGACTAAGACCCAGGATACATAGTGACACTCCAGTTCTGCCTGGAGTAGAAACTGTCTTTGGACAGCTCATGCAATCTCTCTCAATTTCTCATCTGTAAAGTGAAGTGGTTGGAGAGTAGAATCTCTTTAATTTACGCAATATATTAGTCCATTTTCATACTGCTATAAAGAACGGCCTGAGACCGGGTAATTTGTAAAGTAAAGAGGTTTAATTGACTCACAGTTCAGCATGGCTGAGGAGGCCTCAGGAAACTTAAAATCTTGGTGGAAGGCGAAGGGGAAGCAAGCAAGCTTCTTCTCAAGGCAGCCAAAAGGAGACGTGCCTAGTGAAGGGGGAAGAGCCCCTTATAAAACCATCACATCTCGTGAGAACTCACTCACTATCAGAACAGCATGGGGGAAACTGTCTTTATGATGCAATTACCTCCACCTGGTCTCTCCCTTGACATGTGGGAATTATAAGAATTATAATTCAAGATGAGATTTGTGTGGGGAGACAAAGCTTAACCATATCACTCAATTTCAAAGACCTGCCTGCAGATGCCTGCTCTACTTTACCACACAAAGGCTTTTATTTCTGTTGTTTCATTTCTCTGACCTATCTTTTTCTTATTATTATTTCCTAGAAACATCTTATTGTTTCTATGGTTTATCAATGTTTCAAGTACCCACCACAATGCCACTTTTTCCATAAAGCTTTTCTTCTCTCATTAAAATTGTCTTTGTTTGAATTATATTACATTATCACTGCCTCTTGTAGTGTTTATTTTTTAATCCATCAATTATTTTCATATTTTGCCTATTCAATATATTATAAATTTATAAACTGTGAAATACACGTTTAAGATTGAAATACACATTTAAGATTACTTATATGTCACACAATATCCAATATGGCCCTTTTATGTTGTATGTGCTCTAAATACACTTTTAAGAACAATGGGTAAAAAAGCACAAAAAAACACGAGGACAAAAATAATAAAAGAGAAAACTGAAACATGGCTTGTAGAGAATTATTTTCCTATAAGAACTTATTAGAAAGAGATCACTACCTTTATTCTATCAAGATGAATTATTTGTTCTTTGACTCTATTAATCCATTTTCCAAATATTACACTTCTATTTACTATTTTCTTGTCTAAAACCTAAAAGCTTTTACTTAATCTAGGTCTCAGAGTTACTAAGTACTATCATCATTGTTTGGAGCGACTTTACTTGGGGGAACTTTGCACTTCACTGATCTTTAAAGAGTGGAGAATAAGAACATTTCAGAATGCATTACGAACATTTTAAGAGCAGAGAATGTTATCTATGTCACTCAGGTTCTGTTGGATTATCTCACACAATACTGATTGTCACAGTGTGGAATCAAGAAAAAAGTTTAATCAATGGTTATTTTTTAAACTGCATTTTGAAAGGACATATATAATATGTATATTTATACATATATATTTACATTCACATGAATATATATATACACACACAAACATATATATGTCTGATATAATTTTTACATCTCATCCAAATATATACAAAGTGAGCAGAAAATAAGGAAAAATCCATATCTGTCTGGTGTGCATGTGTTTACCACTCCTCTGTTGTTAAGCAGCAAATATCAAGAAAACTCTTAAGTTGCTTGTGTTTAATAAAAGACTGACATGTTCCAAGCAATAGTAAACTCAATTATGGTTTGCATAATGATTAACAAAGTGTTATTCTCACACACTGATTTATTTGGTATTCACTTAATAATATAAAACAGATAAAGCAACTATGTATAGATAAAAAATAAGAAGATTGTCATTTGTCTATGATCAAATTGTTAAAAATTTTAAGGTCATGGCTTGAGCCTAAGTTTTCTTATTCTAAATCTATACTGCTTTGTTTCTTCAATCATAAGTGGTATGTCAAAATTTTTCCACTTGGAAAATTTTAACTGTATTTTTTCTTTAATCCTTTCAATAGTTAACTTTATTTGCTCATTAAATAGAGTTGTTTTACCAGCATACAAAAATGTTTACTGTTTTCTGTCTATGAAACAGTCTATAGCTGTTCTGAAAGCACCACGATATTATTTGAAGAATTTGCTTTTCCAATTGAACAAGGTCTACTAACATTATATTTATGGACACGTTCCTCTTAGGCCAGTGGATCAAACTATTCAATCAAATCTTCCCTCCTTAGAATATAATTCTTATCAGAGATCAAAAGAGAAAAGTACACTGATCATGTTGAGATTTATCCTGTATCCCATCCCTAAATCTCTGCACCTGATTTAGTTCTAAATAGCTCCCAGGTGCTTTTTCCTAGCTAGCCTTCTGTTAATTCTGAGAACTCATTATATCTTTCCAGTAACATACCTTTGATTCAATTAGCCAGTGATATTTGTGTTACTTCTTACTAAAGAATCTTGGTACTATTGGTCATAATCAATTTAATCATAAATATTTTTCTCAATACATTACATGTCATACAGGACTAAGCACATACTTAATCAAATGTGATGATTGGAAGACAAAAGACTTAATGTATAATTGAATAAGAAATGTATTACTCAATATAATGAATCGTCTACTGAGAATAACATTCAGTGACCTGCCCAGCCCAGAAACACGTTAACTCATTCACTTAGAAAATGACATTTTGTTACTCGAGAGCTAGAATGCATGAGATGTAATTATCACTGGGTAACTACAAGAGTGATTTTTGCATTCCCATAAGTCTCAGGGTTAAATTTCTGTACTTCATCATATATATGATGGAAGATATAATTTCTTTAATGATATAATATGATATGAAATGATATATATTATGATATGATACAATAAGAACAACAATAACACATTTATGTATTAGTTTTTCAACCATGGGCAAAACACCAGACACCCAATTTATTTAAAGTACACATTGTGTGTTTGAGATGCACTAGTTAGGTTCATTTAAAGCTCATGTAGGTATCTCTATATTTAAAGAATACCTTTAAAAGATTTTAAGGGGACACCCATATTAAGAGGATAATTGGTGGACTCTATTCAGTAACTGTCCATCATATAGATCATCTTGCTTATAATCATAAAGCCATTGGATCCGTCATTGATATTATATTTTTCCAAGTCCATTGTATAACTCGGGTCTGTTATGAAGTAGAAATGGTTATTAATGTAAACAATCAAAACATATAAAAAGGAGATAACTTAGTTTTGGATGACAGCGAATTGTAAACAATGCAAGAAGCAGGTTACAGTGACAAACGCCTATAATCCCAGCCCTTTGGGAGGCTGAGGTAGGTGAATCACATGAACCCAGGAGTTCCAGACCAGCCTGAGGAACATGGCAAAACCCCACCTCTATAAAAAACACAAAAATTAGCTGGTCATGGTGGGGTGCACTTGTAGTCCCAGCTACTCAGAAGGCTGAAGTGGGATGATCACCTGAGCCCAGGAGGTTGAGGCTGCAGTGAGCTATGATCGTGCCAATGTACTCCAGCCGGGGTGACAGAGCGAGACCCTTTCTCAAAAATAAACAGACAATGTAAGAAATCAGAAGTTAAATATGGAGAGTGTTGATCATATAAGTGTAAAATACCTGAAATCCTCACCAAAATTCAGTAAAGTAATATGATAAAGTGTTATTACCCTTTACATAAAGAAATAGCTCTTCCAAAATTCCAGAAAATTAATAAAAACTAAAAATTAAAAGTCAGTTTTAAAACAGGCTGATGAATTTGTATTATAATTAATGTTTGAGGAATCAAAAGTAATTTATTATTTTCATGAATATTGGAACAATAAAAATATGTTTTCTATAAGGGTAGCAAGTAGCTGATTTACAAATAAGGCATAGAACTTCAACCTAAAAAGCAAAAACAAGGCAAAGCTGTGTGTGTGTGTGTGTGTGTGTGTGTGTGTGTGTGTAATTTAAAATTAAATAAAAAACAATTGTGGTAGCTTGCGCTTGTCAGTTACTTGATAGGCAGAGGCAGGACGGTCACTTGAGCCCAGGAGTTCAAAACTTTAAGGTGCTATAATTGCACCTGGAAATAGTCACTGAACTCCAGCGTGGGCAACACAGTAAGACCCTGTCTCTCAATAAAAAACAAGGAAGTAGAAAAAAACACAGAAAAGAAGTCAAGAGAATAGGAAAAAAGCCAGTCATGATGGTTAATAGTGGAGGAAGACAGTACTGAGAAAAAAGTAGAGGAGTTAGGCAAATTAGACATTTAAATTTTCTTTCTTTCTTTTGAAATAATATCTCTGCAGTAAATTATTTGGAATGTTCTATTTAAAAAAATTAATCAACCTGCATTTCTGGTAACCAATGATATGTCTTTCCAGTTGTTATACCTAGCAAGGCACTTTTTGAACCAATTTAAAGTTATTTACCAGCGAACAAAGGAAAGTGTTACCAAAAATTCTAACATTCAAATATTTATTTCTCCTTTGTAGGAAAAGTGTACTAATAAGTGCTAATTAACATTTCTTCTGTTAAATACCCAAGTTATTCTTTGTTTTCAAAATTGTAACTACATTTCATTGCAAATTGTTTTCATTACTTTTAAACATGCAGAGAATGAGACTGGATTTTTAAAAATAGCCAGAATTTTGATGCACGTAAGACATTCACTTAAAACACCAAAAGTTTAGAAAATAAGTACACCTCAGAATAGAAGTACTTCTTTGTCTCTCCTTAAATAATCAAAATTGTATTGCAAATTTGGGTACTTTCGGCCATTTTATTTTGAGAAGACTGTTTAGTTGTTGTTAGTGAAATCAAAAGAAAAATAGAAAATAAATAAAAGTGATTTAATAAAAAGGTATGCTTTGCTGGTTTCCTTTAGGTTACTGGTTGTTTATTTTTCTCTTGTCTCACATATAATGAATCTCTTTCACTGTTTAAAGGTATCATATTGATAACAATGAAAGACTATTTACTGAACTTATTGATGTAATTTTGCTCATAATTACTAAATATAAAAAAATTAAAATATTCTCACAACATTCTAAAGTAAAAATATTTGGAATGATTTTTACTTACATTATCATAGATATATCTGTGTAGATATATCTTATTCTATTTATTTTATCTAAAATAATTTATTTTGATATTATTTATAAACAATATTCTATTGCATTAGTATACAATGCAATACAGATTGCATTGATTTTTACCCTCTAGAAAAGTTCAGAAAGATTTTAAAACATAAGTAGCCTACTCCATATAAAATTTAAGTACACATGGGCAACAACAGAAATTGGAGACTATTAGTTGCAGGGCAGAGGGAGAGAGGCAAGGGTTGAAAAACTAATTATTGGGTGCTAAGCTTAATACCTGGGTAATGAGATCTTTTGTACCCAAACTTCAGTATCATGCCCTATACCCTAGGTAACAAACCTACACACGTACCCTCAGGATCCAAAATAAAAGTTGGAAAAAGAAATCTCTAAAGAAAGTAATTTGTTTTTCCTTTGTTATCGCATAGAACCTTATCTGTAGTTCTTTTACCTTATTTGGTCTTGAATTATTATTTGTATTTATGGATTGTGTCACTATTAGGGGATAAGGTATTTAAAGCAGGGACTATGGTTTGCTATTCTGTGACTTTTCTACAACTCTGAACGTGATTCCTAAGAGAAGTGAGTAGATGTTTGCTGACTGGACCTGGAACATGTGAATATGTCTATTATTATATTTTCTTAATATGGTATGCTTAATGTAGTGAGCTAAACAAAATAACAATGTGTATAGAGTATTGTTTAAAATACCCCACTTCCAATTGTTTAAAGTGCAAAAGAAATTATATGTTTGAAAGTTAGGTGGAATAAATGAAGATTAAATGATATAGAACTACTCAGAAAACAGGATGACTTTGTGGGGAAGTGAATTTTGACCCTGCTTTTGAAGAATATATCAAATGTAACTTACAGAGTAAGGATATGTGGGAAGAACATAGGCTGTGGATTTCAGAAAATGCTCTTATTTTTTAGCTATGCAAACTTAAGCCATTTAACCTAGGATTCTATTTTCTAATCTGTAAAATGAAGGTAACAGCACTCACCTTAACTTACTGGGTGTTTTGAGGTTTAAATGAAATACAGAATTTGATAATATTTTGTAGTTTCTAATTTTGAGTACACATCTAAAATTTTTTCATCTATTTCTTTAGGCCATCAGAGAATAAAAAAATTAACATTTAAGAAAAAAATATGTTTGCCTTGTAAGTAAGAAATACAGTATTATCCTTCCATATCTCATTCTTGATTTTACTATATCCAAGTTGATAATATAGAGAGAATTTTTATATTTTATTTTGCAGTGTACCAGATAATCCTTCAGATAATTGGTATAACTGTTCAATCAACTTAAGATTATGATATTCTTTACTATTCATTCTAGTTATTGCAACACCTGTAGAACCTATATTTACTTTCCTGTCAGTCAGCTAGGGGACCATACAGACTTTAAGGACTGGTTAGAGAATGATAATATTGATAGAATAGAAATTGATTCTGAAACAGTGAAAGAGGTTTGACTCTTACATATAAGACTATAAATCTATGAAGGCGGAACTCCATATACTTTTTTCACCATTATTTTCTTTCACTTTGATGCATGGCACCTAAAAGCTACTTTACAAAGATTTGTTGCATGCATGCATGAATGAATGAATGAATGAATGGATGAATGAATGAAATTTAAAAATAAAATTTTAAATCCACAAAAATGCTTTATGTAAATTGATCGTGGTGCATAAGCCTTTTGATGTGCTGCAGGATTCGGTTTGCCAGTATTTTATTGAGGATTTTTGCATCAATGTTCATCAGGGATATTGGCCTGAAATTTTATTTTTTTGTTGTATCTCTGCCAGGTTTTTTACAATACTGTGTTAAAATATTAAAAACTAGTTCATTAGTATCATGAGCTCAAAGCAAGAAAGAACATATAAAAAATTTTCAGTGTTAATTTCTACTTAAGCTACTCTACAATATCTGTTTAATAAAAAAAACTGAAAATTTTAAATTAACATTTATAGTTGTTATAAATACACATCTTAATGTGTGTGCATATATATATATATATATATACATCTTGAGACATATATATACACAAACATTGATATATATATATATATGCACACACACACATACCTTGACATATATATATATAGAGAGAGAGAGAGAGAGAGATCACACATGTAAAAAATTTGAATTAAGCCCTATTTTTGGTTCACAAGTCTTGCTTCTTCCAGAATTTTTCTGTACATGTCTCTCAAGCAGACAAGTACCTCGGCTTTTCAGAAGCATGTGTGATCCTGAAGAGATTTGAAAATACGGACTCCTGGTGCTTTATGCAAGGCTATAAAAAAGCTCCAATTTTCAATTATGATTGGGTAAAATATTTCTCAGTTATATAATATTTTTCTTGATATTAATTCTGCAATTTTCTTTTCAGATTTTCTAGACTGTAATAACGTTCCACTGATATATAATAATTCTATAGTTGGGAAAATGACTAATCGCATGAAAAAGAAAGGGTACTGTGAGACCATCACTTGACAAAAAAATCGATCATAGTCTGCCTCAACTTGAGAGGCACAGTCTTTATAAGATATTTAATTCGTCATAGTACATTGCCTGCAGGAGTGTTACACAGAAGTCCAACCAGTGTTTTCCATGGGGTTTCACCCTAGATCTGATGAATCATAATTTATCGGATGAAGCACAATAACATATGTTTATATGTTCTTTTTAATACCTCTCTTATATTTTACTTATGTATGTATTTTTCTGTCCTTAGGTTTAGGGGATACGTGTACAGATGTTACCCTCAGCAGTGTATAAGCGAGAACACAGGTTCGTAACAATTCCGATTGGTAACTATCATGCAACCAGCTAAATTCCAGGTAAACATATGAGAATCAAAATACCAAAACTTTAAAATTCAAACAAACAAACAAACAAACAAGCAAATGGAAATCTGTTTCCTGCAAAGTATGAAATATTTTAAATTTTTCTATCCAATTTCTTCAAAAAACCAAGATGGATCTCTTCTTAAACCTATACCTCTTCAAAAATTGGCCATATTGAAATTAACCTTAGAAAATGTGTGTCTCACTATCTCTCCCCTCTAAACACACACACACCCACACACACACACACAAAAGCATATAAAGAAAACATACTTGTGTCTTATTATGCACAGGATAATTGCTAATGTAATAGGCAATTATATTCAGAAATGATTTGCATATTCACAATGTAAAAATGCTGTTATGCTGTGGATATGCAATGAATAATTAATCAGTTACACTTGAAACAATACCTATGAAACACACACTGGTGTTTAGCAATAATCATGAAAGAATCATTGCAAATATGTATGTGAAATAGATTACAAATCTATCATTAAAATTGATTCAGCAATTTAAGATATTTGATTTCCACCTACCAAATTATTAAAGAGATAAACTTTACTAGGTAACCCATGGTTTTGGTTGTAGATCATATGATAAAAAGGATAAATTATAGATTTGAAAAGATCATGAATATTATGTATTTCAATATCATACTTAGTTTTATAAGTAATATAAGTAAACAATAGTTATGATGTTTAGATATAATTTACATCCTCCCTTTTTCCCTACTCCATAAAATATATTTGAGAAAACATACAATCAAACATTAATGCAAATAAAGTCATTGATAAAAATAGAGATCACAAGAGCAATTCCCTGAAGATAGGGAGAATAATAGAAATGGTTATGAAAGCATTGCAACCAAGTTAGAACAGTTACTGAGCTTGGAAAGAAACATTTAACTTTGAACTTTTTAGCAACTATATCGAAATTGGAAATGTAAGGGATTGTATCATTCTCATTCTCTAGAAAGAAGAACATCATCGTTTTATCTGGAAAGAAAAACTGCTAGAACTAAACGCAAGAGGAATTGTTTTTTGTAACATAACGTGGTATTTCAACATAAGTTTTTTTTTAAAAAAAAGATGCTAAGATCTCTTGATATAATTTTATTTTACATTTCTAATATCCTACTAATGGTTAGCTTTAATGATTGTAAAACTTTCAAAAATGCAGTCAAATCAGTAAATTTTATTATAATTTTCTTTTCAAAATTTATAATTGATACCTTAATTTCTCATATTACAAATATTTAAAGAATAAAAAAATGAAGGCAAATATTATCTCCAATCTAAGCCTAATAATAGTCATTATTCAGCCTTGTCATCACCCTGATCATTTTTTCTTGACTCTAGGCTCTGTTTGTCAGTATCAGCTCTTAAAATGACAACCAAATCCTGCTCAATAATTCAAATATAGTTTCTAGTCAATCTTTGTCCTTCATGTCTTTGAACATATTCCCTATATTTCATAATCACCCACATTGTGTGTCCCACTTCCCAAAGCATAAGTTCAAACAAACAAAGAAACAAACAAGCATGTCTAGATTATCTTGGAGTTTAGGTATATGTGTGTGACTCAGATTCTAGATATCACAGTGAGAGAACTGGATTTAAAAGGGAGCAACCTGTGGAGGCAATTGTATAAGGGGGATGTCATCTCCAGACAAGTGTCATGTGTAGGTATTTCCTGAAACAAGCAGTAAAGAACTTGTGACATCCAGCCCTGAGTCTTATAAGACTTGGTAGTTCTGAGTTTCTGCTACAGCAGCTGCTGTGATATGTGGGTTAGATGTGATTCCTATCTGTAAAGCTACAGAATCTGAGTTATGGCACTCATGGAGACTGTCTTAATTCAGCCTGCTATAACAAAGTACCATATACTAGGTGGCCTATACACAACAGAAATTATTTCTCACAGTTCTAGACACTGGAAAATTGAGATGAGGGTGCCAGGATGGTGGGGATCTGGTGAGGGTCCTCTTCCTCTTCCAAGTTTCAGACTGCTCACTTCTCGTGCATCTTCACATGGCAGACCGAGGGCAAGCTAGTCTCTGACCTCTTCTTACAAGTACAATGCTAATCATGAGGGTGGAGTCTTCATGACCTAATTACCTCCCAGAGACCCTACCTCCAAATATCCTTACATTGTGGGTTAGAGGGAAAGAAATATTCAATTCATAACTTTCTATTCTTCCCCCCAAATTCATGTCATTCTCACATGCAAAATATATTCAACTTAACAGCCCCAAAAGTTAACTTACACTAGCATCACCTCTAAAGTTTAAAATGCAAAGTCTTACCTAAATATCATCTAAATTAGATATAGGTGCAACTTGAAAGCCAATTCATCCTGAGGCAAAATTCCTCTCCAGCTGTGAATTTTTGAAACCAAACAAATTGTGTGCATCCAAGCTACAATAGTAGGACAGGCATAAGATAAACATTCTCATTCCAAAAGGGAGAAATAGGAAAGAAGGAAGGGGTGATGGGTCTCAAGCAAGTTCAAAACCTAGCAAGGAAACTCCAGGTGATCTTAAGGCTCAAGGATAATTCTCTTTGGCTAGATGCTCTTCCTTCTGATTCCACTGGGGTAGGTGTCCTGCCTTCCAGAATTATTGGATCAGGAGTTACATCTTTATTGCTTTGGGTGGCCCTACCCTCACAGTTTGGGGCAGCCCCTCTGCTCATGGTTTTGAGTGAAGGCCATTTGTACTGTTGAAAGCAACGTGAAGTCCCCAACACCAACACAAAATACATCCTAACTGTTCTCGCTTAACACACTTTCTCATTTTTTTTGTGATATGGATAGGCTGAGAATTTTCTCAATATTTAATTTCTAGTTCTTTTTTTCTTAATAATTTGGTCTTCAAGTCATTTATCTCATCACACATTTTACTATGAAAAGTCAGAAAGAAGCAAGCACTTCTTCAACATTTTGCTGAGAAGTTTCTTCAATTAAATATTAATTTTATTGATTGCAACCCCTACCTTCCACAAAACAACTAGAACATAAATAAAATTCAGCAAAGTTCTTTGCTAGTTTATAACACAGATCACTTCTGCTCCATTGTCCAATAACATGTTTCTCGTTTTCACCTGAGACCATAATGGCAGCCATAATGCAGTGTTCTATATATGATTTATGTATTATTTAAGAAAACAGAAACTTTCTCTACCTCTCTTCTCTTTCTGAGCCCTCACCAGAATTGTCTTTAAAAGTCTCTTCACAAGAGTCTTAGCTTCTTCTAGCATATACTTCTTTCAGCTTCTATCCATTATCCAGTTCTAAAATTGCTTTCACATTTTTAGGTACTTATCATAACAACATCCCACCGTCTCGATACCAAAATCTGTTTTAGGATTCTCCAGAGAAACAGAATCAATAGATTATATATATATATATATATATATATGAAGATTTATTATAAGAAATTGGCTCACAGGAAGCTGGAAGTTGAGAAATTCCACAATCTGCTGTCTGCCAATTGGAGACCCAGAAAAGTTGGTGGCATAATTTGAAGTTCTGAGACCCAGAGAGTCAATGATGGTTCCAGTCTGGGTATGAAGGCATGAGAACCAGAAGCACTCATGGCAAAAGATCGATGTCTCAGCTCACACAGTAGGGAAGAGGGCAAATTCAACTTTCCTCCAACTTTTTATTCTATTCAAGCTCTCAACAAATTGGATGGTGCCCAACCACACTGGGGAGGGCCACATGCTTTACTCAGCCCACCAATTCAAATGCTAATCTCTTCCAGAAACATCCTTAAAGACATACCCAGAAATAATGTTTAACCAGCTATCTGGGAATCCAGTGGCCCAGTCAAGTTTTTAATTTTTTTTATTATTTTTTATTTTTTTAGTTGGAGTCTTGCTCTGTCACTCAGGCTGTAGTACAGTGGTATGATCTCGGCTCACTACATCCTATGCCCCCTGGGTTCAAGAAATTCTCCTGCCTCAATCTCCCTCATAGCTGGGATTACAGGAGTGCACTACCACATCCAGCTAATTTTTTGTATTTTTAGTAGAGACTGCATTTCACCACGTTGGCCAGGCTAGTCTTGAACTCCTGACGTCAAGCGATCCACCTGCCTCAGCCTCCCAAAGTGCTGGAATTGCAGGCGTGAGCCACTGCACCCAGCACCAGTCAAAACATAAAATTCACCATCACAGAGACCATGAGCTCTACCTTCAGCCAGTTGAAGGAGAAAATCCTGAATTTGATTTTCAGCATTCTTAGTCCTATGTCTACAGGAGGTAAAGTTCTCAGCATACATACAGCTTTCAGATTGTGTACATGCGCTTAAACTGGTAATTCAAATTCCTGAGCTCATCCTTTTCTTTTCCCAGTCTGTCTAGCAACATTAGGAAAAATCAGCCAATTACTTTATATTTCTAAATTTGAGACAAATATTCAAAAGTATCATATACTCAGTCACTGAGATCTTTGCTTCTTATAAGTGGTTGGTTAGGAGTACCCAATGGTGACTATTTATTTATCTCTATTGCCAGATCATTCCATGGGCAATCAGTGCTCTTTGAACTGCTGAAAATAGTGTCATTATGAGAGGAGAGTGTTCCCTTGACTTTGACCCCCTTGACCTTGACCTTGTCCCTTCATGAGCAGGAACCGAAGGGGCTCATTTCATTCAGCCTGCAGTCCATGGATGGCTAAGAGTTAACAGCTCACTAAAGAGTGACTTAGGGCCAAGATTCCAGGTTTGAGGGTAGAGTTTAGCCAGGAGCCCAGCCATTCTGCATCAATCAGAATCTAAATCTAATCATGTTCCAGAGTCAATTCCAAAAACCCCAGAACCATTTCTGAACAAACTCATCTTTAAAAATCTCTTCCTTTTGAACCATTCTCAGTATCAAAATCTGTATTAGTTATGGAAACAGAACTATTAGGATATACATTAATCCATTCATGTATTATAATTATTACATATATATAAATGTCATTCTTAACACAGTAATGAATACATTAATGTTATATTGAACAAATTTAAAACTCATTCTCACGGATAAGTAGAATCAGCATTCAAAATATCTTGACATTAAAAAGTATAACATATCTAAAAATAACTTTATGCATAAATATATTGGCATGAGCGGCCTTAATCTCCCACAGATGAATAAGATTAAGATTAGGATGATAGGGCCTACCATAAGCATGTGTGCGATCAAGTTTAATTTATAAATTAGTCACAGTGCTCTTGCATTTTGGGGCCTTTATTAAGTAATGTAAACGTTACTTGAACATAAACACTGCAATAACCGTAACAGTCAATTTAATAATCAGGATGGCTAATTGAATAATATGTGATACACTGGATAAAAAAAGATTCATGTCATAAGAGGGAGGGAGAAAGATGATGTGAGATTTCATCATGCTACTCCTAATGGCACATAATTTAAAATATCTGAATGGTTTATTTCTGGAATTTTCCATTTAATATTTTGGACAGTAGTCAACTACTTTGACTATACAGTTACCACAGGTAACTGAAACCATGGAAAGTGAAACTACAGATAAGTGGGGACTACTGGACTGTTAGTCTTTCCACCAGCATTCCACAAGTGACTCCACAGCCTTTTACCAGTGTAACTCTGCATTAAGGGAAGGGAAACAATCATGAGATAGAAACTTAAAAATAAATATGCATTCATTCACTCTAAGGAAAGTAACAGGCAAGGCAAGGGTTACAAAGAAAAGAACAAACTTTACTCTACCTAGCAAGCTCACTTCAAGGACAATTATAAGGTAACACTCTCCGGAAAGGCAAGGCCAAAGAAATGGGCTCCAGACACCCCCAATCCAGAGCAAGTTTGAAGGGGAAAAAAAGAGAAAGACAAATTATTTCCCTGGTTTCTTAAGCATGATTATGTTTTACAAATGTCTGTATTTAGCCAGTTCTTGTTTTCCTTGCAATGCAGCTACAAGGTCACCAGCTATGCAAGGCCACAAGTTATGTTATGCTATACGTTACGTGACATATCACCGTATGATTAACTGCTTTTGTTTTGCTTCTGTAGGTCTGCTTATAAAAACCCCACTCTGTCTTTGTTCAAGGTTCAGCTTTTTGTATGCGAATCCACTGAGCCAGTGCGTACCTAAAATAAACAATCCTCCTGTTCTCCATATTGGTCTCTCCTGTCCTCAGTTTCCCGCAACAATCAGACCTTTTAAGGACTACTGGACACTGTCCCTGAACCCATACTAACTTCAGGAGACATAAAACATCACTGGTGTCTACCAGTTAGAACTGGGGCTTATGGAGGTCAGGTGAGCAGTGGAGTTTTTACACAGGTTCAAATCACAAGGGGCCCAGTGAGTCCCCAGACACACCCTGTGGTTACTTCCCCAGTTCTGGAATGCACAATAGGAATATACATACTCAGCAGCTGACTTGTGGAGTGAAGATTGTTATGGTAGAACAGGACAAGTGGAAGCCACTAGAACTATCTCTAACCAGGAAAACTGTAAACCAAAAGCAATATAGTATTTATAAAAAGATTGCAGAGGTTAGTTCTATCATGAAGAATTGAAAAATGCAGGGGTGGTGATTTCCATCTTATCTCAATTCAACTCCTCTATTTGATCTGTGCAGAAGACAGATGGATCTTGGAGAATGACAGTGGATTATCAAAATCTTAACCAGGTGGTAATCCCAATTGCAGCTGCTGTACAAGATGTAGCTTTATTGCTTGAGCAAATTAGCACATCTCCTTGTCCCTAGTATACAGCTATTGATCTAGCAAACTGTTTTCTTCATTCTTATTCATAAGGACCACCAGAAGTAGTTTGTTTTCAGCTGGCACTACCAGAAGTATACTTTTTCTGTTTTACCTCAGGGTTATAAAAATTCTTCAGGCCATTGTCATAATTTGGTTCACAGGGATCTTTATTACCTTTACTTTCTATAAGATATCATGCTGGTTCATTACACTGATAACATTATGTTAATTAGACCAAGTGAGCAAGAAGTAGCAACTACTCTGGACCAATTGGTAAGACATTTACATATCAGAGGGTATAAATCCAACAGAAAATCAGGGGACTTCTAACTCAGTAACATTTCTAGGGGTCCATAGGTCCTGTCAAGATATCATTTCTGAGTTGAAGGATAAGTTGCTGCATCTGGTTCCTCCTACAGCCAAAAAAAAAGGAGAGAGAGAGAGAGAGAGAGAGAGACAATACCTAGTGGCCTCTTTAGATTTTAGAGCTAAAATATTCTTTATTTGGGTATTCCCATTTACCTAGTGATCTGAAAAGCTGCTAGTTTGAGTGGGACCCATAATAAGGGAGGGTTTTAGGGGAGGTCCAGATTGCTGTGCAAGCTACTCTGTCCCTTGGGTTGTATGATCCAGTAGATCCAATGGTGCTCAAAACGGCAGTGACAGGCATTCTGTTTGGAGCCTTTGATAGGTTCCTATAGGTAAATCATAGTACAGGCCCTTAGGAACAAAATCTTGCCATCCGCTGTGGCTAACTATGCTCCTTTTGAGAAACAGCTGTTGGTATGTTACTGGACCTTAGTCGGAACTGAATTTTCACATGGGTGATAATTCAACCATGTGACCTGAGTTTCCCATAATGAATTAGATGTTATTAACCCACCAAGTCACAACATTGTACCTTACATAGCAGCACTTCATCATCAAATGGAAATTTTATGTATGTGATTGGGCTTGAGAAGGCCCTGAAGGCACAAGTAAGTTACATAAAGTGGCCCAAATGCCCATGGTTGCCACTTCTGCCACACTGTCTTCTCTCTTTGAGCCTGCATCTATGGCTTCATAAGGAGTTCCCTAGGATGACATGAAAAGGAAAGAAGACTTAGGCCAGGTTGTTCCCTGCGCTTGGAAGAAGAAATGGCCAAAAGGGCAATCATATATGGATTCATGGGCTGTTTCTGTAGCCAATGGTTTGACTGGATGATCTCAGACTTGAAAAGGATATAAATTGGAAATTTGGGAAAGAAGTTTGTAGATAGACCTGGCTCCAAATATGGCACCATTCCCCAGGGTGATCAGCCAGCTAGCTACCTGGTGGCAGATTGGTTACTTGAAACATTGTCATCACAGAAGGGGCATCATTTTGTTTTTAATAAAATAGAAAATTACTCTGGATATGATTTGCCTTCTGTGCATGCACTGCTTCTGTCAAAACTACTATCCATGCACTTACCAAATACCTTATCACCATCATGGTATTCCACATAACACTGCTTCTAATAAAAAAACAAAACAAACAAACAAACAAACAAACAAGAAAACCTCATTTCATGGCAAATGAAGTGATGCATTGGGCCCATGCTCATAGATTTCCCTGGTCTTACCATGTTTCCCACTATTCTGAGATGACTGGTTTGATAAAACAGTAGAAGAGTTTTCTGAAAGCTCAGTTATAGTGCCAGTGAGGTGATAATATCTCACAAGAGGGAACAAGGTTCTTTAGAAGGCTGTATATGCTCTAAATCAGTGTCCATAGATGAGTTATTTCTCCCATTGCCAGAACTCATGGTCCAGGATAGGAAGAGTAGAAATAGAAGTAGCACCATTATTCCTAGTGACCCACTAAAAAATTATTGCTTTTTGTTTCTGAAACCTTATGCTCTGCTAACCTAGAGATCTTAGTTACAAAGAGGGAAGTGCTTCCACCCAGAAAAGAAAAAAAAAAAGATTCCTGACACTTAGTTAAGACTGCCACTGGGTCACTTAGAACTCCTCATGCCTCAGGATCAACAGGCAAAGAAGAGTTACTACACTGCCTGTAGTTATTGACTCTGACTACTAGAGTAGATTGGTCTACTGTTTTACAACAGAGGTAAGGAAGGCTATATCTGGAATAAAGATCATTGAAAGCCTTTCTTGGTATTACAATGCTCTTTGATGAAGGTCAAAGGAAAACAGAAAACAACTGAATCCAGTCAAGACTACTAATGGCTAAGTTTCTTCAAGAATAAACATCTAGGTCACCCAAGATCAGCTGAGGTAGTTAATGAAGCCAAAAGAAATACAGATTGGGTAGTAGAAGAAGCAGGGATTTATCCTAGGTCACAGCCAGCTGTGACCATGTGACTAGTTACAGAAAAAGATAACTGTAATTGACATGAGCATTTCCTTCTTATTTTGGTATAAATATGTGCATGTTTGTATAAAATATTTTTTATTGTCTCTCTTATTTCCTGGTCATGTAACATAAGACATATAACAAAGTATTGAAGTATTGTTAATTTTACATCATGACAACAAACTACATGTTTATGTTCCCCCAAAATTCACATGTTGAAATCATTGCTCCTAGTGTGACGCCATTAGAAAATGAGGCCACTGGGAGGTAACTATTAGACATAAGAAGGTGGAGTCCTCACGAATGGGATTGGTGCCCTTACAAAAGGGACCCCAGGGCTGGGTGCAGTGGCTCATGCCTGTAATTCCAGCACTTTGGGAGGCCAAGGTGGGTAGATCACGAGGTCAGGAGATCAAGACCTTCCTGGCCAACATGATGAAACACCATCTCTACTAAAAATACAAAAATTAGCTGGGCATGTTGGCACAAACCTGTAGTCCCAGCTACTCAGGAGGCTGAGGCAAAAGAATCGCTTGAACCCGGGAGCCAGAGGTTGCAGTGAGCTGAGATCATGCCACTGCACTCCAGCCTGGCCACAGAGTGAGATTCCGTCAAAAAAAAAAAAAGTTAATTAATTAAAAAAAAAAGCGCCCCGGAAAACTTTTTTTCCTCTTCTGCTATGTGAGGATACAAGGAGTCAGCAGTCTGCATTCCGGGAAAGAACCCTTACCTGAACTCAATCATGCTGGCACCCTCATTTTGAACATCTATCCTTAAGAACAGTGAAAAATAAATTTCTGCTTTATAAGCCACCCAGTCTGTGGTACTTTGTCATATGAAACCAAACTGACTTATCCATCATAGTAATTAAGTTATGGGATATGAAGAAAAGCAAATGTCACTCAATGACTTTACCTCCTTTTTAGAGCAGGTGGTGATACATTTTCCACTGTACACAAGATAGATGTATCAAGTTAGGAGATTCAGACCTAGCTATTGTCTTCATTTGGAGATTGAGTATGAAAGAGATGCATATGGGTGGTTAAGTTAACACGGGATGGACTTACAATGTTTATTTGTCAATTTTACTGGGCCACATGGTACTCAGATATTTGCTTAAACATTGTGGGTGTTTCTATAACACCTGGATAAGGAGGGATTCCTTCTGTCTGACTACCTTTTAGCTGGGACACCAGGTTGTTTTCTTTTCTTTTCCTTTTCTTTTCTTTTCTTTTCTTTTCTTTTTTTCTGCCTTCCGTCTTAAACTGAAAGATTGGCTCCTGGGTCTAGAGCCTGTTGGCCTGTGGACTGGAATTATAGCTTTGGCTGTCTTGGATCTCAGGCCTTTGGACTGGGAGTGTTATGGCATTGGCTCTTCTGGTGTAGACTGCAGATCTGGCTGCTTGTTAACCTGCATAATCATGTGGGTCAATTCCTTATAATAAATCTCTTTCCATATATATTCTATATATATATTTATAGAAATTTATATATATTCTATAGAAATCTATATATATATAGAATCTATATATTCTATATATAGAATATATATTATATATATTTTATAGAAATGTATTTTATATATATATATCTCCTATTGGTTCTGTTTCTCTGGAGAACCCTAATACAGCAGCTCATATCTATATATTACATTATTCAAAAATTATTTTTTCTAATAATGCCATTCTTTTGCTGCAATCTTTTTGGATATTGACTCTACTTTTTATTTCTGAGGATCAATTTCAAGGTTATTCAGTGTGGCATAAATGTATTCACCCCAGTTACTGATAGGGTTTTGTTTTTAATTTGAATTAAACACAAGGCCCAAGTCAGAGGAGTTTACTTTGTCATGCTCACTATTGTATATAATTTATCATTTGTTGCTGACTCTTCTAGTCAATTCATAATTGTTTCTATTGTGCCAGATGACATGAGATTGTACAACAGTTCTGTGAAATATACTACATTTACTACCACTCAGCCATTGAGTTTTATTCAAATAGTATCTGAGTCTCAGATGTCATGATTAACTCTTGGTCAGTCATGGCTCTAAGAGGGTCCTATGAGGTGTTACATAATATGATACCTGTGGCCCAGCCCGGTGGCTCCTGCTTGTAATCCCAGCACTTTGGGAGGCCAAGGTGGGCAGATCACCTGAGGTCAGGAGTTTGAGAACAGGCTGGCCACCATGGCTAAACTCCATCTCTACTAAAAATACAAAAATATTAGTTGGATGTGGTGGCATCCTGTAGTCCTAGCTAATCAGGAGGCTGAGGTGAGAGGATCGCTTGAACCCAGGTAGTGGAGGTTGACAATGAGCCAAGATCACGCCACTGCACTTCACCCTGGGCGACAGAGTGAGGCTCTGGCTCTATAAAAAAAAATAATAATAACAAATAACAAATATGGTACCTGTTTACCTCAAGATGTCTGTGCTTAGGGCTCTCTCTTCCTGCAACTTTCTTTCTCCCTGACTTTCTCATAGTTATTTCCCTTATTTTTTCTAGATCTCTGCTTAAATGTCATTTCCTTAGAGTTCTCCCTTTGCTATCAATCTAAAATAGCTTTCTACTCACCATATCATCTTCTCCTATTGCCTCACTTTATTTTCCTTTGTAGCAAGTGATAACATTAGGCAACATACCACACTTTCCCTAACTTATATTTTTCAGTCTTCTCCAGTAAAATTTTAGCTTCCCAAAAGAAGACAGGCTTTTTCTTTGTTCATCTGTGTTTTCTTCTTTTTTTTCCCTAGCCATTCCCCCAAAATAGTTGCATGTCTGACAAGCAGTAAGTATAACAACTGATAATATTCTGTTGGGTGAATATATGAATGACTAAATGAGTGAATAAATAAACTTTTATTTTAAGTACTCATCAAGCATCCTTTAAATAATTCTGGCATCATGTTAAAATCAACATAAATCCTTCCCATTTTTTTAAATGTAGACTTACATAAACCTTTCTTATGTGACATCTTGATTGTTTACATCTTGCTAAAGATTTTGTAAAAAGACAACGTGTTCATTCTTTTCCCAACATGATTTCAATTCTATAATTTTGACATTCACCAGCCCAGAAAATACAGGAGTTCCTCAGATTATTTAATTTTCCTAGGAGACAATCTCTGAATAATGAATACCTCAGGAAAGGAGGCTTTCCTAGAGCATTTTCAGTATCACTTGGAAATAGACCCAGGATAGCAACCACTTATTTTTTTGTGGTATCCTCTTATAAAGTCACTTAATAAAGTACTGGATAAAAGAAGTAGATTTATATTATTTCTGCTCTTCTCAGAGGAGCTTTATTTTAGACTTAACTGACTTCCCCTACCTACTAAACAGCATCTCTAAAATAATGTTACTAATTTCCAGTTTGTTAGCCACTCTTCCAATCCACAAACAATGACTCATTAGTCAACAGAACATCCCTTCACTCAGCCCCTCCCTCCATTCTGCCATCGACGCCACCTCCAGCACTGTACAACTACTGAGTGTTCTCACTAGGAAATGCGTTTATTCTCAAAAACAAATGTCTGTATCAGACATGTTGGGTGAATTATAACTTTAGTTTTTATGTAGTAAGTATATTTTCAAGATATAATAGCTAATTAGAGGCACTTGGAAATTATTAATAGTGAAGTTACCTATTTGAGCACCCTGACGTTTCACATAGAATGCTAGTTTCAAGCTATACTAAGAAATTAATGCTGTATAATTTATATCATAAATATCTGTAGCTGTAATTTTTTCTTATGAATTTAGGTTTAATAAATATTTGTAAGTTACTTTTACATGATTTCATTTTTTTAATTCGGTCTGTGGGGGATATAATTTTCACATACTTGTAATGTAAAATTACAATTTCCAGTGCTATTTTATGATATTAATTCATCTGATACATAGAAATAATAACACCTGGCTGGGCGCAGTGGCTCACGCCTGTAATCCCAGCACTTTGGGAGGCCAAGGTGGGCGGATCGCCTGAGGTCAGGAGTTCGAGACAAGCCTGACCAGCAAAGTGAAACCCCGTCTGTACTAAAAAAAAAAATATATATATATATATATAAATCAGCTGAGTGTGGTGGTGTGTGCCTGTAATCCTAGCTACTTGGGAAGCTGAGACAGGAGAATCGCTTGAACCCAGGAGATGGAGGTTGCAATGAGCCAAGATCATGCCATTGCACTCCAGCCTGGGCAACAGAGTGAGATGCCATCTCAAAAAAAAAAAAAAAAGAAAAGAAAAGAAATAATAACACCTAACTATTGAGGTAAGTTTTTTTTGTCATATATATGTATATGTACATATACATCATTAATAAAGTGATACTTGGAAAATCTGGAATATTATCTATACCACCTCTCATTAAGCAACATTATTAAGTTAACAATCACTTATATTTTGTTTTCTATTTTGAGTATATTAATTTGATATTCAACTACTCTTATTAGAAGTAGTATTTGTAAGTAAAACTAGCAAAATTAAAGATAAATGTTAATATTCAACAGAATATTTCAGATGTATTTTCACTATAATTAACACTAAAATAATTTCCTTTTATAACTCACAATGTATGTAGTTCTTATTGTGGGATAATTAGTCTCTGTCTAGTCACTGAAAATTACTTTGAAATACAGTTTTAAACATTGGAAATAGTGTCCTGAGCTTGTGTGTTATGTTATTTTCTTGTATTTCAGAAAGATCACTCTCAGTATAACTCTGTGAATGCTTGCAGCTGCACACTTTTGAAAGATCACATAAATGTACATTTGAACGTGTAATCATTCTTGCATATGTCAGTACTTTACTTGAAATCTCAACTAAGAAAGGATAAAGCCTTGATAGTCACATATAGCATGAGAGAGAAAAACCATATATTTCTACTAGGCCTCATATCAGAAAGAGAATAGGTATGGATTGAATACTAATGACATTGGGGACTTCTTTTGAAAGCTCATAACAGATGAACCAGGTTCTGTAAGTTCTTCTGAAGGAAAACTCCATTTCTAGATAAATATGTCTCCTAGTTTTTACCTATAGTTTTGTATTTCTAATTTTATTTAGTATTTGGGTAATTTAAACATATTTAAACAGTACATCTATGTTAAAATTTTTTATCCATTCATCTGTTGATGCATAATAGGTTGATTCCATATATTTGCTATTGTGAATAGTACTGAAATGAATGCTTAATATGTGGAATCTTAAACGATTCAAGTCATAGCAACAGAGTAGAGTGACTGTTACAGAGGATGGAGGATTTGAGTGGGGGTGGGGGGTGATGATTAATGAATACAAAATTTCAGACAGGAGGGAAAAAAATATATATATAGTTCTATGGCACAGCATGGTGAATATAGGTTAATAATAGAGTATTAAATACATTTCAAAATTACTAGGAGAGTACATTTCAAATGTTCTCATCACAAACATATTAAATATTTAAGGTGATGGATCTGTTAACTAGTTTGATTTAATTACTCCACATTCTATTTATAAATCAAAACATTGCTTTGTACATCATACATTTATAAAAAGTACCGATTTACAATTCAACAAATTTCTAACAATATACTGAATAACAAAATGAACTAAAATTAAATAAAAACATAACATTGGCTCTTAAAATGTCTGAAAGTAGAAAAAATAGTAATAGTTTTAAAAGTAAAACAAAAATAAGTTGTTAACACGTGAGCAAATTTTTAAGTATGTTATTGTGTGCAATGCTGATTTTCAAATTTTACTACATGATTATAGAACAGAAAACTTTAACTTGGAAAATATAGCCAATTTTTCATAAGCACTGTAAACATTCCATACTTTCTGGGGCCGAATGAGATAATACATTTTTACTGTCAATAATTGATGTCACAGATATTAACAAAATAGCTCACTAATAATGGCTTTCCATAAAGACATGTGCACATTTTAACTTTATATTCTAGGTACAATGCTTTTGTTAGTATTACTTCATTGCTCTATAACTATAATGTTTTTATTAATAAATACAGTAGCATTTGTATACTGTTGATTATTGGTCTTATTTGTACAATTAAATGGCTCAGTCTGCAGAGTTTCTTAAATTGTTTCATTTCTCAAAAAGTTTCATGTAATTTAGCATATTTTCTCCAAATGCCATTCATTTTACAGGTAGGCAAAATTAAATATATATACATCCACATGCTAAAATTTGTCATTTTAGTGACTGCTTATATGTTATTAGACATGTCTATCATCTTGCAAAATGCATAATTTAAAAAATTTGATATTTGTTAATATACTACATTTTCAACTACCCAAAGCAATACTAATTTTTCTTTTTTCCCACAAAATTAAAACAATATGACTCAATATTATTTGTTAGTTAATATTTTTCCTATCAGAACTCCATAGCTAGTGTTCTACTTGATCTTTTTGGCACTGAACTTTAAAAAGAACAAGTCTCATTCTGTAATAATTTTATTTTTATTTTAAAAAATATTTCAGCTCATGATGTTAAACCAGATACATTGATATTTATTTTATAATTCCAAATGATAATATCAGTTGTTTATATGGATTAGAAATTAGTTTTATATCTTACTTTTGATTATTATTTGTTAGCATTTAGTAGCAACATTTATCAATATGGTGGCAGTTCATTGTCGTGACTATTTGTTAATAACATCTTTTATTTTTTCTATTTTTTTTACATTTAAAATATTCTAAATTCCTTTCTCATATTATAGACTTGACATTTGTAACACTAATCCCATTCTTTACTGATTTTAATGGAGATTATTTTACTATGCCAATAGTAAAATAGAGTTACTCTGTTAACTCTACTTTTCTCCAATTTTATTCAAGTGGCTATTCATTTTTACGGTGGTCTCATTTCATAACCTTTTTTTCACAGTATCTATGCCTTTTTAAGAAAACATTTGTGTCAAGCTAGCTTTCTCATCTCTAGCAGATCTCATAAAGAATTATACTTTTCAGTGTCAATATTAGTTTCTATTTTGGTTTATGTTGCAAATTTTTATGGGCTGTATTTGAGCTTTGTATATTAAGTGAATTAATTTGTATGAGCAGAAATCTGAACAATCTAAATAATTGCTTACAAAATAGTAGGTTATTTTTATTTTAATCTTCTTGCCATTTCTGTGGCCACTATTAAAATCTTACGTGATCTAAACTCGATTGACTGAATGTTATATACGTTTTCCATCAAAGCGATGCACCAGTACTCCTGGAAGAGTTGAAAGATTCTGGAGCGATTGCTTTCTCACCTGCCAAGAATTGAAATGGCACATTTCCTGTGTGGCTGTGGGCTCCAGTTAGCCTCTGTTCTGTTGCTAGGTTCATGTTGTACACTGCGCAATGCCCTAGCCACAAACTTTGGGGAAGCTAATGGCTACCAGATAACAGAAAATCTATCTTCTCAAAAAGAAGTCTGGCCAAATTTTGTGCTTTTTATTTTGCTAAAAATAACTTATGTGAATATCCTGCTTCTGCCATTTTGTTTTTAATAATACATTTTGCCTGTCTCAGTTGCCATATGAAAAAAGCTACTACTTTTTTTTTGCAGGTGATTTTTAAAAAGTCAGAAGCTGTTAAGTATACCATAAGAAAAAATATCATTTTAAAAACTATTTTTACCATGTATGCTTATAACTATTAAAATTGAAAAGTTAATATCTATTATAGTGAATATTATCTAATGCTATATAATGAGAACCCACCTATGCTTCTCTGAAAATATCCTGGCTTACAGATCTATCCAGCTTGAACTTAACTAACATAACTCCAATCATCATTCATTTTTGGTGTATAAATAAAAAAGGAACCACATAGCTAAATGGTTTTAAATGTATAATTAATCACTATGGCCTCATTATACTTGATACCTTATGCCAAGGTAAATACAAGTATGGAAGAATAAACAGGTTGTTAACAGATGAATGGATGGATGAATCCATAATACATAACTTTGTTGAAGCGTATTTAAAAATACCTAACTTATTGAAAGATTGTTTGAAGCAATAAGCTTAGATCATCCTATAACTTATAACATCTGATTAATTTGCATGTTTACATAGTGTTCATGTAACAAGAGGTATTCTATTTGTAATGAAATAAAAACACTAAAATATCTTTAAAAGCAAACAAATCTATTTTCCTTCTTTCTTAAACATGTGCATATTTATTGTAAGTGTTTGATGTTTTCTGGCTATGTTTTTCTATTAAAGGTCTTCCCTGAAAAAAAAGAAAAAAGAATGACATGTAATGGAAGCTTTCAAAGTGATTGTTGATACGTGGTATCTTTTACAAAATTGAGAAATATATGTTAAAATTTAAAACATCAAATAAACCCTTTGAGGATTGTGTTTAAATTTGTGTTATTTTCTGCTACATTTTGTGGCCTAATTATGTGAAATTTTACTCTGCAATTGTATTTTGCAGCTATTTTACTATGAATAATTTGCATTTTTTTCTATTTTCCATGGAATTTAAATTAAAGACAATCAACTTTTCATTTATGAGAGCAGGGCAGTATCACCTTTACATTGTAGCAAAAATAACAAAAGATAGAGAAATCACTTAGTTTTCTGAGAAATGCAAAAAATGTATCTTTCCTCTCTTGCATTTTTGGATGCTGTTTTATAATGCTTTTTACATTTAGTCAGCATTTTTGAAAATTGTATAGATTAGAAATCTTTTAAGAAGTGCCCTAACAGCAAGAAAAGCCATGCTATCTTCTATTCATAAAAAAGATCATTTTGGAAAGGTACTTTCCTTCAGCAGCTTTTGGAGGCTGTTTATATAATGTAGCTGCAAAATAACATTTTCAGATAAATTTTAAAAACTACAAAAATATAAATTGTATAGTGTCAACAAATATGACTGTATTAAATGATAGAAAATGTCCTAAGTGTACAAATCGAGAAATATTACTGTCATATCACATTGAATTATAAATGCAGAGCTAACCTGGTATCTGTTAGAAAGAGAATGGAATTTGACAACTATATCATTTAACTTATAATGGTATAAAAAATCAGGAGAAAAAGTTCCCCAGGTATTGTAGGAACTTACACAACTTTTATCAGTATTCTGGAGGGTGACCAAATTGGTAGTTCACTGATTATTTTGGCCTTCACCCATCGTGAGGTTGCCTAGGTTAACACCAAAATTTTTCTGGGTTAGCAAAGCTACTAGGTCACAGGAGGGAAATTCTAACCAATCACTTCCATACTATGCCTTAAAAAATCTAAACACAGAAATTATGTTAGAATTTGCAGCCAGAAAATTAATTCTCATTGAAAATGTGTCATTTTCATACTTAGACCTGTTCATTTTAATCTCTATTCTCATTTACTCTCATTTAGTTATTTCTCAGTTGCTTGATAATTAAAATAATTATACAGTATGCATATATCACACTTCCAAATTAAGCTGGCCTTTTATACATTATCTCAATCTCTGCCAAATGTAGACTTGTCTTTCTCTCACTTCTTTCTTGTTTACAGTTACCTTGCATTTCATGGAGTGTTGGAAGACTCAGTTTCATCCCATTCATCTTTCAAGGATCAGCTCAAATATTACATTTTCTAATAACACAGGCAAAAGTCATTGACTATCCATCAAGACAGATTCTTGATTAAATTTTTAAAAATACATTTCTACATGTGTTGAATTAAAAATCAGGACCTGTAACCCACAGAAATATACATATATCTTCAAAATTTAACATGTGATGTCTTTAATGTTGATAAAACTATATTATCCATGTACATAAGTTATAGAAATGAATACCAAAAATTCTACCCAAAGAATAACAGTAATTCTTTCTTTGAGAGTACTAAAAATGTTCTGAATAAAAAGGGAAGAAAAACAAGCTATCAAAATAAAGTCTCAGTGATATGCCACTTAGTTATGCTGTGTAAATTCACATTAAAATTAAAAACCCACACTTTAAAATTATCTGTGGTCTTGGGCTGCTTGATATTTGATTTAAAAGCAGTTAATTGAAGAGTAGTAATTTTAAAAGTAGTGAATGGGGTTTTAGTTTTGTATTTGTTCATTTGTATGGGTGCTGTATTGTTGATTGATTTCTTAATGGGATTCTTTTAACTTCAATGGGAATGTGTAAGAAAATTAAATTACGTAAAGCCGGGAGCAGCTTATAAAAGTCTTGGGCTCAGTAGTGTTATCACCTTATATTAATATATTGGATTTCCCGCAGGAAGCTCAAGATCCTTTCAGTATTTATCCTAATAGTAAAGTAGGGCAGGTATACAGAGGGGAAATAGAATGTCTATACACCAATAATGGGAAAATTGAAAAAAAATAAGATATTTCATATTTAGATGAAACAGAATCAGAAACCAGGTCTCCTTTAGCTACTTTGGTACAGAATGAATGGTGCTCACACCTATAATTTTACTACCATTTACTATGGACCACTCCACAGTGTAGAAATGGGCTCAGCATAAATGCTAAACATATCATTACAAATACTTCATGTTATGATGAATATATTTGGTCATTTCCCTTGGGGTCACTTCCCAAGATGGTTATTTTATAACACTTTAATATAAATGCTTAACCTTTAAAAATGTAGTTCTTTTGGAGAAAATCCCAGATGTGCATACAATTAGAACCAACATCAAATATTTTGTGTTGCCAGATCACTAATTAAATTCCTGCACATAACCTTTTCCTTCCTGAAATGCAACATTTAGTAAATTATTTTATAATTATGCAAACAATGTTTTGTATAGCTTTTGCATTTTAATGAGTTTGGGAGAAACCAATTTAGAATTAAATCAGATTCTGAAAAAAAACGAAACAAAACGTGTTGTACTAAAGAGCTGCCATCTAATTATAATAACACACACTACTTTCCATGAGTCTGTAATTCCTTTGCCATTTAAAAAGTCACAAATTTTCTGCTTAATTTTTGTTTTTTTGCCTTTTTATGGGAAGATGTTTAAATATTTAAATTCACAAAGGACTCATAAGAATCTTCCAAAGTGAAGAAAAACTGTTCTGTCTCCCATAACCTTTTCTTTTATATTACCTTTCAAAAAAGTTTCTAGAGCTCCTATATTCTATTTGGTTAGATTAGCCTTCGGTACACTCAAAGTCCAGGGATCAAAGTAGGCAAAAATATAATGCCCAACTTTATTTCCCTGATTTCATCAATAATTTCATCAGACATTGTATAGAACAGTATTCTACTAATAGGACTAAATATGCATTAGTTGTTAAATAAAATGAAAATTATGTAGCAGAATAATTATCTTGAAATATTGGACTTTTTAAATTCGTTAAATATCTTTAGCCCTCTTTCTATTTCCTGTTTTTCAGAATGTAAGGAGTATAAATGGACCTGTAGGAAATGACAAACTTATGTCTGAGGGACAAACATATTGACAAACATATTATGTCTGAGGGAATCCTATAAATAAAGAACTGGAGTGAATAGCTGAAGTTCTGACAAAAAATATGGGAAATATTTGGTATTATAGCTGTCTGAGTCTTCCACTGAATTCTTTGTACCATGGTGTGCTTTAAAAAAATATAGGAATGGACAAAGAGGAGTCAAAGTTATTATAGGACTAAGAATACGAGATAGATACAAACAAACACATATGTATATATGTGTTCATAGATACAAGCACACACATGTGTATTTGGTACAGTTCTTTCATTTTACTTAATTAAAATTGACCTCCTACCATCAAACATCTTTTAAGTATAAAGGTGAAAGAAAGAGGTAATTAGAGAATGGAGAATTCAACACACGAGAGCTGCTTAAAAAGTTACCATACATATGGCAAAAGACACTAGTTGGAATTTCACAAATGTAGGAGATAAATAAGGGCAATAAAATAGTACAATGTGAGTAAATCTAATATTGGATGTATAAAATGATAACAATGTCTCCTGCTATTTTAAAGATATATGGAATAATACATATGCACATATATGTGAAGGGGATTAAATGTGGTTAAATATTTATGACTTTTACCTTGTCTGGAACGTGTAACAAGTACCAATTTCTATTAAAATATGGTAAGCTAATTAAAAGTATTGCAATCCCTAGGTTAAGCACTTAAAGAGTAGTAAAGGTAAGTGTTAATATCAATAAAGGGGAAATTGGACAGACAAAATAATCAATTGAAAAGAATACATAAAAAGGAAAAATATAACATAGAATGGATGAAACAAATAAAAAACAAATAGTGTTGGCATATATTTAAACCTTAATATAAACTAACTACATAAAATGAAAGTAGGTGAAGTCTCCAAATAAAAGATAAAGGCAAAAGTAGTATCCCATAAATAGATTTAAATAAGAAAATATGTTTATTTTATACAAATATGGATTAAAATAAGAAACTTTTAAGTATATGCTAAATAATATAGCTCAAAATTTAAAAGGTAAAATTTTAGAACTACTTGAAACTTATTAAAACCAACTGGCATGAGGACCTCTAACTCATTTATATTGGGTTTGTGTGTATGTATATACATTTATGTTTATTATAAATAGATGTAAATGTTATATAGTCAAATTTCCAACATTTAGCTACACTTTAAAACCACATGGGAGTATGGTATATAGATTGAAACACTGAGTTTTTTCTTGAGGACTACTCCCAAATATGTGGATATGTTATATTTGAGGTGGCATCAAAATACTGCTTTCGGAAAAATGTATTCAGATAATTCTTACCCCCAGCCTGATATATATACCACAGAAAAAGACATTTTGAAGTATATGCGTAAGGTAAATTTCTTCCAAATATCCAAGCACTATTCAAAAATTATCACATGCTAAGCCAAGCATAACAGATGAGTCATAGGAATCCAACATTCCTAACTCCTTCCTAAATTCACACATTACTAACAAATCATAGCAGTATTTCTGCCAAACTTTAGGAATTTTTCTCAGCACACTTCCTTTCAGTCCTCTTGGTAGGTGCTAGAAATTCTCTACAATTGGAAGAACAATAAGAAATAATTTTACATTTCTGTATTTTTCAAAAAAATTAAGAGCAAAAATATACCAAAAAGCAATGATTAGTAATCATGTTCTTTATTAATGATACATTAACACTGAAAATTAGTACCAAAAGAGTAAAAAGTATTGCCAAGTAAATTTAGAAGTCTTTTCTTTCAAATGCCATATTTACTCATAAATGGAAATGAAAATCAAGTCTGAAATCTATTTAGAAAATAGTACAAATAAGAAACTTTAATTTAATATTTTTAGAATACAGGCAAAGCAATACCCAAAGTATTTGTAGCTCCAAACTTGTTATTATTAAACAACAGACAGAATAAAAAATTGACTAAGGGTTAACAAAACATCAAAAATTAAAGAACACAAAGAACAAAGCATTGTAAAGTTTAGTAAAGATGGAGAAAGGACTCTGTCATTAAACATATAAAGTATTAAACAAAAATCAGAGAAAACCTTGAGAATAAATCTATGAAAATAAGTTCTTGAAAATAACAATGATATGCAGAAAAGTCTAACTATTATAAGAGAAAATACAAAAGATGAAAAAAATTGATTTTGATTTTATGACTATATTTTTTTCTCATGTTTTATTAGTTTTTGATTGGAACAGCTAGAATTTTGCATATCATTGAATTGTTATTCTATGACAATTATACTTTTAAATGTGAATATTATAAGTAACTCCAGTAATATACATTAGCAAATTCTTAGCAAATCCTAAGGAATTTTTAAAATGTTTGCAACCATTATGATTTATCTCACTTTATTTAAAACATTTTAGAGTTTAGAGTCAGAAATACTTTCCATATCTTTGTATAAAGTCAGCACAAGATTGTAAGGCCATAAACAAAACTTCTAATAAACGCATCTAAAAGACCAAAATTGTTAGTGCATCAGTGTGTGCAATTTGCAAAATCTTTAAAAATTATGAAAGTAAAATGTCAGTTTATTAAACAGCTGTTGTGCTAAATTATTACTTCCCCTTCTATTTCTATTTAATGTGTTTTAATTAGAAATGATATCATCTTATTTATCATCTCCTTAATATCAAGCCATCACCATGTTTAATGATAGTGAAATCTAAAGTCCTTTGAAATTCAGGAAGAAAAAAAATGGGTGTTTACTCTCACCATTAATATTGTACTTTGTCTTAGAAATTTGATCAAATGGTATTAAACAACAACATAATATTAGTTAAGTAAATAATAAAAAGAAAATAAAAACTACCTTTATTTGCAGATGTAATTCTCTCTAGAAATAATAAGAAAAGTTGTATCTTTAAATTATAAAGCACTACAGCAACTAAGTAAGATACACTTCTCAGGAAAACATGGTTAAAGAGCCTGTAAAAATTTCACATTGTAAGCACTCAATCTTTTTTTGCTGCTGCAAGAAGTGAAAATCAAAATGAGATATAATCTGATATGTTAAGAGTGGAGGAAAGTCAAAACCATAATGATTAATAATTGGCATAGTGAATGTGTAAACCAAATGGTCCTCCTGCACACTGTTGGTTGAAGTGTAAATGAGGACAGAGAATTTGGTTGTACCAAATCAACAACCACTCACATGTTTTTTTTGATTTAGCAATTTTCTTCAAGTTAGGTACATGCAGTTACATAAATACTTCGAAGCCATAAAAAGTGAGGTTGTATATTTATCTTATTGATATACACTGATGGTCAACATTCATGTGTTATTTTAAAAAAAGGAGGTTATAAACATATGTACATGAAATCCACTGTTAACCTTTCATAAGGGAGGTTGTTCTTTCCATGACATGAATGGGTAGGAAGTTGACAAAAACTAAAGGAAAATGCTCCAGGAGGTCATCTCTGGGAATTTAGGGATGAATACTCCTTGAGACAGATCAGCTCTGTGGAGACTCATCTTTGGAGTCTACTAAAAGAGTTATGTTGCTTCAAAGATGAGGCTCATTTTCATGAAGAACTAAATTCTCAGTACATCGAAAGAGTAGGATCCTGCTTCTACCTACATCAGAGAACTTAAGCCACTAGCTGAGTGGTTTAAGAGCCAGTATGTCAGAATATAGTGCAGAGTGATGAAATTGAGCTTGACGTGATCCTACAATATGTCTTGAAAGCCCTGAGCAGATACAAAAGGTTAATGGAATTTTTATGAAGAGAGGGATGTACATGCAGCTCCATGAGAGACAGAATATACTGGGATAAGTGATACCAACAAAAAAACATAGTGAATTTAAGGCACAACCCCGGTGACTAAAAACAAAATATTTTCTGAAGGAAGACTACAATATCATGGCGAATTTTGGGGAAAACCATAAATACAAGCAACGGGCTTATATAATATCTCCTACTTTCTCCTCTTAGGCATAAATTACAAAAGAAAATATATACAAAATAAAAGCAATTACATAAGATATAAAATCAATGTTATTTGTGCATTGGTGTTTTTAAAAGATCAGAACACAAAATAGGCTACACTATAAATTTGTTTTCTGTAAAACTATCCATGAGGTCTTAACAGAATTGGTGATTATAAGGGCTAGGTTAATTAAATGTCTATTCAAAGTATAGAGACTGGAATGTCGAAGGAAGCAATCAAGGGTAAAAATCTTACTAACTGGGTCAGTTTTGAACACCCAACATGAAGTAGTTCAATTCTAATGTGGACGAGATAGTCTTGGGCAGTGTGATCACTCCAGTGAGTGTTCTAGAAGTACGAAGGCACCTAGAAGTTTCTCTCTTTGTATATAACTCCTTTGTATATAAAGTACCCCCTTTAGGTACTTGTAGACTGCTTTGGGGAAAATGAAATTATAACCTGAAGGAATATAGTACAACAGTGAAAATAAGGCATCAATAACTGGCACTGTACAGTGGGAGCTAGGTTCCAGCTGAAATGCAAACGTGGTTGAAACATACTAGTACACTTCTACAGAAATAAAAATTAGCAGACAAGGAAAGGAAAGGGGCCTATGGAAAAGAAATTAATCCTGGAATTTAAACAGTTTTGTGTTGCCAAGGTAACTTAGACCTAAAAATAGAATAAAGTTGTCTGGTTGGCATTTTGGAGAACAGAGTCATAAAGATTTGCAAGTCAAATTTATAATATATAAGATTGTATCAGAAAAGGAGTTTGCTTTAGGATAGCAGCCTCATGGAAATTAGATGAAAACTAACAAGTCTATCAATAAGGCTTATCTCAGTCTCATCTCAAACAGGAAACGGCTGGGCTTGATATTGTCTAAGAACTTGAATCCTATTGGTTAAAGGAGAACTTCCTAGACTTCTCTGGTAATCAAGACAATCATAAGAAAAGTAAGATGAGAAGATGGTTACTCAAATCAAGAAGGACGATAAACTTGCATGGTCTTATTTTGACCATGTAAAAATTTTAGACAATACTAGTGCTGAAAGTGTCAAAAGGATGAGGGAAGAATATTAACTAAAAAAAAAAAATCAATTTTGAGTTCATTACTAAAATATTATAGATATAAATAACACTGGAATTGCAAAAAGGTTATAACCTGAAAAAACACATTCTTTGAAATTATTTCCAGAGTTAAAAATATTTGGAGAGTTTCAGAAAATTGATTGGAATCAGTTTTAAATCCTGTAGGATTCACTCAAGCATATGGCCTTACCAAATGAATGTATCAGCTTCTTCAAGAACTCCAGAGATTAGTGGTTTTCTGCAGAGAAGATTGGACTAGCTGCTTTCCTCATGCTGTGTTTCATGGTAGTTCACACTCAGAAGTGAATTTTACATCTTAGGATCCATACAACTCCTCTTCATTAACATAATTTACTGGGTTTAGAACAGTTTTCTTAAAGTGGTTCACAGATCAGCAGTGTAAGGATCACCCCAGACATGCTGGACGCTAGAGCTACCAACTGAGAAACTCCTAACGTGGGGCCAATAACTGGTGTTGTAACAAGACCTCCAGGTGATTCTACTAACATAACGTTTGTGATCCTCTGGGCTGGAGATACAGAGACTGACATTTAATCTGGAAATTTGACCGTAAGGCTAATACTTCCAAAAATGTGATGGGGATCAGGGAAATAAAAGGTGATTATACTTGATATAAAAAGCCATGGTTACGTTGTTTTTAAAATGTTAACAAATGCCTTCAGAAAGCACATGAGTTTGGAGACGGAGGGAGAGAAAGCAAATGGAGGGGGGAAAAGAGACAGCAAGGAGAAATCAAATGGAAAGGGAGAAAGGGAAGGAGGAGGATCATATGATGGGGAGAGAAACCAGGTGGAAACGGAGAAATCAGATGGGAAGAATTCAAGATGAAGGGAGATACAACTAACAGAAGGAACCAGATAGAGGAAGAGAAGGGGGCTGGAGAGAAAGAGGGGCATCTACTTTAAACTGCCCCCAAAAGATTCCACTTTTTGTGGGATTAACTCTGCATCCCTGGGAAAGTTTAGGCAGATCAGTTCCTTTACTTCTCACTGTGTGAAGAGTTTAGAAGTAGGACTGAACTGAGGAAAGCCAGAGGATTTTTTATAATTCAGTGGAAAGAAAAAGACACAATAGAAAATACAGGCCTTGCTTATAATATGGGCCTGTGAAGCTTGTGTTGGGTTTAATTTGAAAAGTGAAAGAAACATAATAGTGTTTAACCCCACCTGGAGAAGTAGGCCATACCAATTTTATATTATATTCCAGTAATAAGTATTATGTATATATGTGGTAAAACTATATAGTTTATACACAATATATATTTAATGATCATATAACGTACAACCAATATAGAGTTGATATAAAAATAATAGATGATTCATTGATCATGTTTGCAAATACACATATGTATTTAGCCATGCAAAAGGATTATGGCAAATTACATATTCTGTTAGTAATGGCATTATGCAGAGTTAAATTCATTCTTTATTTTATGTAAAATTACTGCTTAACTATATATTTACTGATATTTGGAAGATTGTTAAAGAAATGATATATATCTATTTTCTAAGACAGACACCTATATTTTAACAATGCTAGCACATTTATGCAATTTTATTTTTACTTAGAATATGTTTGAATGTGAAGTAATATGACCAACTTTTTAGCAAGCTTACCAGAATTTTTGCGCTCAAATTTATTTTTGCCTTAAAAAAGCTAATCTGGATGGCTATACATTTATTCCAATGATATCACCATTTCCATTTTTGGAATTTATCTTTAAATTGCTTCCAAAACCTTCAACATATTACTTTAAATACCAAGCAGGGAAAATATTTTTCATGTTACGATGAAAATCCAAATAACTTTTCGAATTGGGTCTGCTTAATAAAATGGAAAATCCAACTGGACAAAACTTAAATAATTTTGTTTTATAAGTGATAATGTAATTGTTTTTCTGTATGGCCACTGTTCTGATTTTATAAGGTAATGATAATAAGTTTGAAATTACTATAAATAATTATATCAATGTAAGACCAATCATAAAAATGTCAGGTAATTAAATTTGAATGCTTAATTTCTGATATTTAACCTTAAAAGCTGCCTTATTACTACACTGAATCTTGTTCTCTATGACTGTACAGAGAATATAGTATGTTTGTGACTTCACTTTTTCTTAAATGTTATTAACGTCACGGCATCAAACTGACCTAGACAATACTGAAACCAAATTTTATTCTTAAACTAGAAAAAATTGTCACTCCATGTGCTTATGCAGCCAAACAAAAGGTTGAAATGCAGTACTAAGCTGTTTAGGCAAAATTATTTGGAGCTTATGGCTGCCTGTTTTTCCCTTCAGACCTTTGACATATACCATCATATTCCCAATGCTTCAGCCTGACCTTATTAGTCTTATTTGCATGAGCAAGGCTGTGTAGTCAGATTAAATTGCCCAAAGAAGCAATCCTATTATTCAAGTGAATGCATTTTTTTTTTTACTTTGCCAAATAAGAAATGAGACAACAATACCAATCAATAGACACATTTGAGATATATTTGAGATATATCAAATAAATATATTAACAACATTATTTACTAGAAAATTTAATTTATCAGGAAAAAAAAAACTTGCCTTTAAATCCTGGGACACACTTGCGGAAGAAATATCCCCTTAAATGTGTACTAGTTGTTCCATTTTTGCAGGACGCAGATTTGCAGTCTTCAGTATCTATCTCACAGATGTTCCTTTCATATCTTTGCAGACCGCTACAGTTACAATTGTGCGAAAGGGCCAGGCAGAGGCCATGCACTGATATACTGTGGTTCCCTAAGCAATAGTCAACATTGACAACACACAATCTGCCAATGTAACTAAGAGAACAGCTGCATCTGAAACACAGAGAAATGAAAAACCCAATTAGTCATATACTTTATTTTGATATATTTAAGTATTTAAATCACACATTTATTTAAAAACACAGAAATAAATATTTAATGAAGATAGTTGTGGGGTGCATTTAAAAAATATTTTCATAAAGTGTCCATTCTTGGCAAAATTACTTTTGATTACTGTGCAGAATTATGAGTGAAAATAACTTTGGTGCTGAATATATCTAGTCTCAAAAACATATTCTGCCACTTAATTGCTATGTTAGCTGGGATAACATCATGAACTCTGCCTATGCTAATGTGTGTGTCTGTGTGTGTATTCATATATTATTAGGTTGGTGCAAAAGTAATTGTGGTTTTTTTCATTGAAAGTAATGGAAAAAAATCACAATTACTTTTGTCACAACTATATATATATACATATATATAAGATTATTCAAACTCAGTTTGTCACTCAATGCAATTATTTAAGATGTAGCTGTAAGGCAATGCCAGGTATTCTTATATTATTCTTTAAATCTATAATATTTTGAATTTTAAAATATCTGTACTCTTGAATACATGAACATAATTCATGCATTCATTATTTTAGTTTTTTAGATACATTTTTAATGAATTTGCAAATTTCGACGAGATTTTCCCATAGTAATTTCAATTTATCCAATATATTTTTCTAGTAGTTTTTTACATAGTTTTCTTGTAAGTGAAGACAATTGTGAAATAGTCTGCAATTTATGTAAATGTATTTTAAATATATTTTAGGTTTAATGTTGAGAACTATGTTGGCTATCAACAAAAGTGGGGATATTTTTCTGGAGTTAGAGAGACAAAGATTTTTCACTTTTTCCTTCCTTTCAAATACAGACGTGCACAGAAACACACACACATCTGTTCAAGGCCTAATTTATTTGATCATTATACATTGAACAACTTTTCTTGGGTTCCTCTATATCTAGGCATAGTTATAAGTTATTAATATAAATTCTTAGATCATTTTAATATAATAATACATTATATAATATATCCATATGCATTTCTTTGAATATTTTATATACATACATAATTGAAAAAGAAAGCAAAAGATGAAAAAAAATTAAAGTATCATGATTTTCAAGAATTCTTTACCAAGCATTCAAAGGGCACTTAACATTAGCATATAAATATGTCAATGGGCTGAGAAAAGCAATGTCAAATCACTTTGCTTGTTATTATTAATAAAAATTAACCTACTGAACCTAAGTCATTACACTTATAACTGTATATGACGGTAAGCGTTTGGAGCCAGCAAAAATGTTAAAGGTGAATTAGTTCAAGCCTTTCTTCTTGTAGTTGTAAAGAACTTAGCCATTTAATGCAATTTGTCAAGGATCACTGAGATTATTAACGGTAGGAAGTGTAGTGGATGCTTTGATGTGTTCAAATCACTGGTCTTGGAGAGAAAACTTTGGTTTTAATTCTTTTCAAACATGTATTAAATAAATATATTTGTGCCTGTTTTCTCATCTGCAAAATTCTCAGCTGCACATCTATTTCACAGAAGAGTATTGAATGCATTTTTTACTGGGCAAGTAACTGTTACCTACTATATCAAACACCCTTCCAACAAAGTTACCTGAAATAAAATCATAGAATACAGTTACTTCCCTTCAATACCTTTCCTCTTCTCCCTCCACATACAGAAAAAGAAAAAAAAACCTAGGTAAATTCAAAACAACTGCCACATGGCAAAAAATTGTTGGCCTGTGCTAGGCCTTGTTTAACCGTATCTTTGTAAATTGTTAATAGTGCTCTTTCACTTTTAACAGTGTTCTGATTGGGGTGGTAGATTACACGGGGCCCTATGTATAATGCCAAGATTATTACATAGTTCTGTGCCTCTACTATGCAAGCTTTAGTCATAATGCTGTTTGTTATTCCATGAAAATGAAAAGAAAATTGTAGAAAGTTCCTTCCTAAATGAACAGGATATCCTGTACAAGAATACGAAGGCATATCTTTATAATTCTTCCTGAGCTAATCTCTAGTTTATTAAATCTCAATAAAGGCATCAAGAGGTAGACTCTAAATTATATATGGGAAGCTTACGGCATTGAGAATATTTTTGAAAATTAAGAGTAATATGGAAGTACTAGCTCAGATACTATAACAAACAAAAACTGTACTAATTGAAAGAGAGTTTGCCAGTTAACTATTAGGATCTTGCTGAAGTCTCTAATCTGAACTGTGTGGAGATAGTGACACCTTTTATTAAGAGGAAGATTTAATAGGAGAAAATTTGGGGTAGAAACTAGGAATCTGCATTTGGCCATAGCAAATTTGAAATGGTAATTGACCTATTTTTATATTTCATTATATTTCATGTATTTTTATATTGACCACTTGATGTTTGTTTTATTGAGCTTTAATGTCCTCAAGAGAATACTTTTTCTTGTGTACTCGTCTTTTTAAAATTTGACGAGTTGTGGTTAGAGCAACAACCTACTTGTTCCCAATTTTTGAATTTTTCAAATTTTATTTTTGACACAACTTAGGCACATTCCCTTATTGTTTAGCATTACCATTTCTATATCAACCTACCTACAATACAAACCTACCTACACATACATATTTATATATATATATATTTAAATTCTCAAAAATGATTATATCTTAGTAATATATAATGCTCTGAAATTTTATCTTTCCATTTAATGATATGTCTGAGATACCAATCCAAATTAGCACATTTTGTTTTCAAAGGTTGCAAATATTCTATTATATGAATGTACCATAATATTTCACCCTCAGAAGGCACTGTAGTTACTATGCGTTTTAATTTGTTGTGTTAATATTTATACAGAAATGGAAGTCCTTGTACAAATATATCAGTGGATTCTATAGAGAGGATCCATAGGATAAATCCCTTGCAAAATTGGCCCTAATCAAAAGGAAATCAAGTGTTTAATTTTAATAGTTCTTATCAAAGCCCTCTCTATAAAGGTTGATGTTCAGAATGCCGGGCTTCCCAAACACTGGAGAGTTCTGCATATCATAAAATGTTTTAGTATTTGCCAGTCTGATTAAAAAATCTGTCCTATTTTGCTATGATTTGTATGTGTTTAATTCATGAATTGCACTTTTTTTGCAAAGTTACTGGTCATTTACCTTTTTGTTTTCCTAATAACAACCTATTTTTGGTAATTTTTCTACAATAAATAACATATTTTTAACACTAATTTTATAATTAGCACAAAAGAAAATCAGATATCAACACTTCCTTTTCCTTTGCACCACATCCTTCCCCTGACCCCCCCCAAAAAACAACTTGGCAGTCTATTGCTTTCTAATGGCCATTGTTTGAAAGCTCATTGGGATGTTCTTAGGAAAGTGTCGCTTCTGATGCATTGGAAGTAGTCCAAAATTTCTGAAATGCCAGGCGTTTTGGTTTTAAATTTATTTCCAAGTTTTAATATTCTGGTTTATTTTAATTTATATTTTCATCAAATACTATGTAAATATTCCTATAATAATGCAAATATTTCTTATAGAATAACTATAGTGTCTTCTGAGGGTCAAATATTACAGTGCGTTTCCATTTCTAACTCATCCTGCCACCTATATAAGATGTTTAACTATTTTTGTGTTTTCATTTATCTCAATATTTCCAAATAAAATATTTTACATTTATTACTTAATAAAAAAGCACATTTAAACATTATTCATTGATGTCATCCTATGGAAGAGAAGTATTTACATTTCTTACACTGCTCCTTACCCCAAAACACACACACACAGACACACAGATAAACACACCAAGCCCTTATATCATTCTCCCAATATAAAATTAGGTTAATTTTGTAATAAATTAACATTCATTTTATATAATTATGTGTTTAGTGATATCATTTGTAGCTGAAAGAGGTCATATGCATTTACTTTTACAGAACATTTTTGTTTTCCTGGCAGTTTTTAATCACTATATTTTTAGTTTTGTTTACTTATTCTAAGCATCCAGTCATCATTACTTCCCCATGTCCCTCAATATGCAAAATACATTGGATATTCTCTCAGCCTCAGTCTTTTTGTCCTTAGAAATGCCTCTTCTGAATGGGTAGATCCACAGGCTCACTTCATAGTGTTTTCTGGGATGACTCTTCACCTTCATCCTGGGAGGCTTTACCGCCTGTCTTCTGGTTTGGATCCTCAGTTTCCTAAATTCCTCATCTTTTCCTTACTTGACTTCCTATTTTAAGCGAAGTATATTATTTTTAGGTTAGACCTCTTAGAACTAAAAATGTTCACATATTGTAGATCTGAAAACTATTTTTTTCTACCTTTTTCTTATTACTTTGAGGGCAGTAGTCTTAAGTTTTGGAGTTTTTTTCAAAAGTTTAACATGCATCTCTTCTTTGTATTTCCTCTGAATTTTCTCCCCACCTTCCAACTGACTTTGGTCTCTGGCTGTGAAGTTAGAGAATTTCCTAACTTACATGGTTATGCTTGGCTCTCCACTTATATTGAAAAATAAATCACCAAAAAATATGGTTTGAAATTCCATGTATTCATTGTGAGTGGTTTTCTAGTGACTTTATTGCACTGTGATCAAAGAGACCTGGCTGATTTGTTTAAGAACTCTCTAATTCTCTCAGAGTCTGTATTCTTTTACCTACATCCACTCAGTGACAGTCAGGGGAAGTGGCCTGACCACCCACATTTTTAGAGCAGAATAGGGAAAAATACCTTGTTACCTTTGTTTTGGGAGTAGATTTTTACTTAATTTCTCCTCTGTAGTATTGCACCACATCCCTGGGCTCTGTGTATTGCTCAAGAATGGAACAGGCTGTTCGCACAGATAAAAGAGAGAATTCAGGAGTTTAACTGTGTGCTCATAAAGCTTTCAACCAATTCTTTGATTTTCAGCTTTACCATGGTCCCACCCTCAGGAATGACTGATGAGTACAATGCCTGTCTTTCGAGTATTCGGCTTATTTAGTGGCTTCCCCTCTGCTACCAACTTAGTTTGGTGGTTCTAGTCTTTCCTGATGCTTTGCATTTTAAATAATTTTTGTTAGGATGTTAGACACTGTAAATATTTTATTGAAAGTCTAGATTTTGGGCTGGGCGTGGTAACTCATGCCTGTAATCCCAGCACTTTGGGAGGCCGAGGCGGGCAGATCACGAGGTCAGGAGATCGAGACCATCCTGGCTAACACGGTGAAACCCCGTCTCTACCAAAGATATAAGAAATTAGATCTTAGGCATCGCGTCATAGAGGAACTACACCTTCCAGAACCCTCGCGCCCTGCGTCGTGCTGGCACTTTTACCGGCCGGGCCTTAGAGCGCAGCCTGTAGCCGGGCGCCATCTTTGACGCTGGCAGTCTTGGTTTTCTGCTAGTGCTGCTGCTGCTGGGAGGACGACGGACGGCAGCGGCCAAGCGAGAAGAAAGACGTGGCAGCAAGCGGGAGTCGGGGATAGTGTCATCGGTTCGGGTCCCACTACTTTGGAGCTTGTCTCAAACTCCACATACAGAAAGCCACCGACCTTATTCCGGTATCCTACACCCATTCCCCACCCTCATTACACTCCCACCCCTGGCCCTCAGCGTGGGAGTCAAGAGCAACAGGGACACTTCCGTACTCCTTGTAGGATTGGTGAAACCGTAATGACGAACACCCCTAAACTCCCATAATTGGTGCGGATTCCTGTGGGGAAGGCCTATACTGTTGACATCTTCCAGGCCATCTCAAGGTTCTGGACCTTGAGAAGGAGGCTGTGGAACTAGAGATAGTGATGCTTTTTAGGATTTGGGGATATTCCCTGCCCAAAAAATTCCTGGAAAATTGACTAGTATTAAGTGTGAAGAAATCTTGAAGACCAGAAATTGGATCTTACTGAAAAACTGATTTTTTTTGTTTTTCAGATTATATTGTTCAGCTATGGAAGATGGATTTTTTTTCATGATCCTTTGACTCTCAAGTTCATCTTTAAATGAACTCTTTTTTTTGTTTTGTTTTTGAGGAGATAACTAACCCTAGCTGTCTCCAGTCTGACAAAGGTTATTTGAATGGACTTAATCTCCCAGTAGTTGGGAGATGTTTTAAAAACACATGCTGTGTTTGAATTGTGGCTGAGAGGTTTTCTTGGCAATGTGAGGAGGAAAATTTTTTCTGCTTCATTATTATTAATTCATGGATTGAGTGTTGGTTCGACCTACAGGCGTAATAGATTGGAACTCAGTGAAGACACAGACGTTCCTGTTGAGAGCAATCAGCTAATGATTACAGTTTAAAGACAATTTCTGTGATCAAGTTGTCATTTGGAAGATTAAACCCATTTCACGAGGACTTGGAGCCTGGTCCTTGCTTTGAGGAAGCAGTGGCTTGTTTCAAGAAGCCACTTCTGATCTAAGAATCTACCCAGCATGCCTAATCAAGGAGAAGACTGCTATTTTTTTTTCTATTCTACATGTACCAAAGGTGACAGCTGCCCATTCCGTCACTGTGAAGCTGCACTAGGCAATGAAACTGTTTGCACATTATGGCAAGAAGGGCGCTGTTTTCGACGGGTGTGCAGGTTTCGGCACATGGAGATTGATAAAAAACGCAGTGAAATTCCTTGTTATTGGGAAAATCAGCCAACAGGATGTCAAAAATTAAACTGCGCTTTCCATCACAATAGAGGACGATATGTTGATGGCCTTTTCCTACCTCCGAGCAAAAGTGTGTTGCCCACTGTGCCTGAGTCACCAGAAGAGGAAGTGAAGGCTAGCCAACTTTCAGTTCAGCAGAACAAATTGTCTGTCCAGTCCAATCCTTCCCCTCAGCTGCGGAGCGTTATGAAAGTAGAAAGTTCCGAAAATGTTCCTAGCCCCAAGCATCCACCAGTTGTAATTAATGCTGCAGATGATGATGAAGATGATGATGATCAGTTTTCTGAGGAAGGTGATGAAACCAAAACACCTACCCTGCAACCAACTCCTGAAGTTCACAATGGATTACGAGTGACTTCTGTCCGGAAACCTGCAGTCAATATAAAGCAAGGTGAATGTTTGCATTTTGGAATAAAAACTCTTGAGGAAATTAAGTCAAAGAAAATGAAGGAAAAATCTGAGGAGCAAGGTGAGGGTTCTTCAGGAGTTTCCAGTCTTTTACTCCACCCTGAGCCTGTTCCAGGTCCTGAAAAAGAAAATGTCAGGACTGTGGTGAGGACAGTAACTCTCTCCACCAAACAAGGAGAAGAACCCTTGGTTAGATTGGGCCTTACTGAGACACTGGGGAAACGAAAATTTTCGACAGGCGGTGACAGTGATCCTCCATTAAAGCGCAGCCTGGCACAGAGGCTAGGGAAGAAAGTTGAAGCTCCAGAAACTAACACTGACGAAACACCAAAGAAAGCTCAAGTTTCCAAGTCTCTTAAGGAGCGATTAGGCATGTCAGCTGATCCAAATAATGAGGACGCAACAGATAAAGTTAATAAAGTTGGTGAGATCCATGTGAAGACATTAGAAGAAATGCTTCTTGAAAGAGCCAGTCAGAAACATGGGGAATCGCAAACTAAACTCAAGACAGAAGGACCTTCAAAAACTGATGATTCTACTTCAGGAGCAAGAAGCTCCTCCACTATCCGTATCAAAACCTTCTCTGAGGTCCTGGCTGAAGAAGAACATAGGCAGCAGGAAGCAGAGAGACAAAAAAGCAAAAAGGATACAACTTGCATCAAGCTAAAGACTGATAGTGAAATTAAAAAAACAGTAGTTTTGCCACCCATTGTTGCCAGCAAAGGACAATCAGAGGAGCCTGCAGGTAAAACAAAGTCCATGCAGGAGGTGCACATGAAGACGGTGGAAGAAATTAAACTGGAGAAGGCACTGAGGGTGCAGCAGAGCTCTGAGAGCAGCACCAGCTCCCCGTCTCAACATGAGGCCACTCCAGGGGCAAGGTTGCTACTGCGAATCACCAAAAGAACATGGAGGAAAGAAGAGAAGAAACTTCAGGAAGGAAATGAAGTTGATTTTCTGAGCCGTGTTAGAATGGAAGCTACAGAGGCTTCAGTTGAGACCACAGGAGTTGACATCACTAAAATTCAAGTCAAGAGATGTGAGATCATGAGAGAGACGCGCATGCAGAAACAGCAGGAGAGGGAAAAATCAGTCTTGACACCTCTTCAGGGAGATGTAGCCTCTTGCAATACCCAAGTGGCAGAGAAACCAGTGCTCACTGCTGTGCCAGGAATCACATGGCACCTGACCAAGCAGCTTCCCACAAAGTCATCCCAGAAGGTGGAGGTAGAAACCTCAGGGATTGCAGACTCATTATTGAATGTGAAATGGTCAGCACAGACCTTGGAAAAAAGGGGTGAAGCTAAACCCACAGTGAACGTGAAGCAATCTGTGGTTAAAGTTGTGTCATCCCCCAAATTGGCCCCAAAACGTAAGGCAGTGGAGATGCACCCTGCTGTCACTGCCGCTGTGAAGCCACTCAGCTCCAGCAGCGTCCTACAGGAACCCCCAGCCAAAAAGGCAGCTGTGGATGCTGTTGTCCTGCTTGTCTCTGAGGACAAATCAGTCACTGTGCCTGAAACAGAAAATCCTAGAGACAGTCTTGTGCTGCCTCTAACCCAGTCCTCTTCAGATTCCTCACCCCCGGAGGTGTCTGGCCCTTCCTCATCCCAAATGAGCATGAAAACTCGCCGACTCAGCTCTGCCTCAACAGGAAAGCCCCCACTCTCTGTGGAGGATGATTTTGAGAAACTAACATGGGAGATTTCAGGAGGCAAATTGGAAGCTGAGATTGACCTGGATCCTGGGAAAGATGAAGATGACCTTCCGCTTGAGCTATGAGAAATGATTGATAGCTGAAGGTGGTAGTGAGGACACTTTAAAAAAAAATCGCCAAAAAACTGGACTTAGTTTCATCTATTGTAACATTTACCTGAGATGATCATTTCTTTAGTCTAGAATTTGCCCCAAATCAGAAGTATACCTCTGAATTATCTGTATGTGTCCTGGATTCCTTGGGGTCAGATTTTTAAAGTTACTTTATAACCATTTTGTCCATTTGATGCCATTGTTTATCATCTTTTGAGAAAAAAGTTCTGTCATACCCTTCTCTCCACAAAAAAGAGACTGAGAGGGAGATCAAGTGAAAGGGTGCAAGCAAACTTAGTGACTCCTTGAGGTGTTTGTCAGTTTTGGCTTTTTTCTCCTTTGTTGTATTCTTTATGTATTGTCTTGATGTACTTAATATTACCTGAGTTTGAAATGGATGAAGACAGCTGCTACCATTAAGGACCAAATTTTATGCTACCACTAAACAAAAATACCCACTCAGTCTGTGTTAGATTGTATGTCTTTTTAAAGGTATTTAGAGATTCAACTAAGCTTTAAAGAGGGCTGAGCAGCTCAGGAAGCCTGTAATGTGGGCATAACTCTTTGGACCTGATCTTGATGCTTCTGCTGCTCTGTTGGCCTCTGAAGAGCAATATCTAATTTATTATTACTGTAATTTTTTAAAAGGCTTTAAAGTGCCTCAGGGGTCCCCTGAAACTAATTTTCTATTTCTGGGATTCCCTGGATTCATTATATGAGATGGTGACATGATTAGAGGAATTCTTTTTTAGTATGAAAATTGTCCCTTTTCTTCTTCAGTACTTGCCTCCTTGCTGGCATTGAATTAACACAGGGACAAAATATGGTTAATTTTTTATTTCTAATTCTCCCAACAAACCCCTGTTGCCCAGTATTTATGTGGTGGCCTTTAACCACCTGAGGGAAAAAATGAGCTTATTCAAGCTGCCAATATTTATCTATGGGCTGTAGCAGTACACTGAATTGTACTGTGCCAGGGATATTGAGATGCTCTGGGGGTATATTGTATACCTGCCAGTTTTCTTCATTTCTGAATTGAGTTTTCTTTTCTTGATGTTGGTTTCCTTCATATCACCTCAAGGTTTAGATTTGTGAAGGAATAAGCATGATGGAAATAATAGTCTTGAAAGGAGATATGTTGTATATAATCAGGAGGAAGAGGAAGGAAGGACTTACCCATTTTGATATTTTGCTGTAGGTGGCCAGTTTTGTTTCTCATAGGGAAATCTGACCCCCACCTGTCATGTTGGCTCCTAAGGAACTGCTGTTGTAAGCGGCTCATCAAGAGTTGAACTTCACGTAGCCTTGTTGGGAATATGGAAAAGGAAGAAAGCCACAGGACTGCCCATTCAGTCTTGTTAAGATTGGGATGATTCTGCACAAGCAAAAATGACTTGAAATTTATGTATCGACACACCTCTACCAATCCATCTTCAGCTGACTGAATGTTGTATGATAGCCCTTCTCCAAAGCAGGGGTAGAATGTTCAGGTTTCACCACGGATTTTCTACTTATTTCGCTTTTGGAATCAGCTTACAGATTCCAGGTCCCTTTTGTAGATATTCTTTATTCTTTTGCTTTTTTAAAAAATAAACTGGTATTAGTCAATGTTTCGTGTTCCGCATTATTTGAACCATTTGCCCTTACAGAAAGAGAAATACTTGTTTGTGTTTTAAATAAAACTGATGTAGGATAAAAAAAAAAAGAAAGAAAGAAATTAGCCAGGCGTGGTGGTGGGTGCCTGTAGTCCCAGCTACTTGGGAGGCTGAGGCAGGAGAATGGTGTGAACCTGGGAGGCGGAGGTTGCAGTGAGCTGAGATCGTGCCACTGCACTCCAGCCTGGGCAGCAGAGCAAGAGTCCGTCTCAAAAAAAAAAAAAAAAAAAAAAAAAAAAAAGAAAGTCTAGATTTTGTAGTCTTCCTCTGGAAAGCCGAATTTTGTTTTGCCAGGGAGTTAAGTTACTTACCATTCAACCTGATCCTTTTTAAGCGTATTTTTAAGTTTGGGAGTATGCGTCTAGAGTAAGTTTTTCTTTAGGGCTAATTTAATTATCCTTTTGAAGCACGCCTCTTCAGGAGGCTCGAGGAAATATTCAGGGTGGTCCGCAATGCCTCCATTCTGGCTGGCTGCAACTCAACCCCCAGCTCACAAATCCCAGTAGCTGTTTTTGCCTGGCCTCACAGAGTTTCATTTCATGCATATGTAGCCTAATATTCAATGAAGGACTCAGGATAGCTGCCTGTATAGATTTCTGGAGTTCTTTCTCTCTGTGCCTCACATTTCAGCTCTTTTAGCTCCTTTAACTCTGATCTCTGTCTATTAAATTCAGTAAGTTGGATCTGCCTTGTCATGGTTCCTCCTCTCTTACTGCAGTCTTGGAAGTGCCTACATCCAGAAAGCCATGTTGGTTCTAGGGCTTACCTCATTTCTTTTCCTGTTCTGAAGACTCACACTTCTGTGCTGTGTCTGTTTTCTAACGTCTGAAAACAGCTGTCTCATGTATTTTGTCCAATTTCCTAGCTGTTTACAGCAGAGAGACAGATTTGGTACCAGTTATTCTATCACATTGAGAAGTGATAGTCCCTAAACTTGCTCTAAACATGTTTAGATTTAATGTGAACAACTAATGTTTCCATTTTCAGTTTCTCTTAGCAGTTTTCAGGAGCTTCAATCCGTTAATTCTCAAATACATCCATAAATCACTTGGAATATCTTAATGCATTGTATGAAAGATAATTCCTCCTCTGTACCCATCATCACCACTCTTCCTTTAAATTGTGGGATATGTTTTTCTGAGACTGTGGCTTTAGTGTGTACGAGAAAAATTCAGTTGTTATCCCCTCATTTTGGGGAGTAAAAATAATAAGAATGAGGAGCATTATAGTATCTAATCTTGTCCAACAAAAACCTAGGTAACTTTGGAAGTTTTCTTCTCTCTCCCCCACTCTCCCACTTCTATGTGTGTATAAGTGTGTTTATTGAATAAAGAGCCTTTTATTTTTATTTATTTATTTATTTATTTATTTGAGATGATGTCTCACTGTCATCCAGGCTGGAGTGCAGTGGTGTGATCTCAGCTCACTGCAGCCTCCACCTCCCGGGTTCAAGCGATTCTTCTGCCTCAGCCTCCCTAGCAGTTGGGACAGACTACAGGCACATCCCACCACGCCCAGCTAATTTTTTGTATTTTTATTAGAGACAGGGTTTCACTTGTTGGCCAGGCTGGTCTTGAACTCCTGACCTCAGGTGATCCACCTGCCTTGGCCTCCCAAAGTGCTAGAATTACAGGCGTGAGCCACTGCCTCAGGCTGAATAAAGAGCCTTTTAGATAATGTCTTGCCTGACAAGTTTAAAACAACTTTCTTACCAGATATGCCATAATAAAAATCTCCAAGAAGTTTTCCTTAGGCTACATCTCAATGGGCCATTTAATACTATATCAATAAACTTTATTACATAATAAGATCTTGGTGTTTATCAGAAAGGGATTTGAGCCAGGGTGTTTTAAGTTGGTTAGTATCTTGAGTGAGAAAGATCTCTGTTTTCATTAGCCTTCTCAGAAAAAACTCCCCCTATTTATCAGGAATGCAAATGTTTCAGATTGAAGTGGGTACCCAGACATAGCTCAACATTGCACAAACAGGTGCCAAGGGGAATCTGTTTCCTTTTCTATCTAACTCCAACTCCTTTGAATTTTTTTGACAGGTACTTAGAAAAACTGGGATTGACAAAGTGATACAGTTTGAGTTATATGTTGCCATAGAAAGAGGCAAGTTGGCAAATATTTTGGTAAATCATTTCAAGATAGCTTTGAGGAGGTCCTCAAAGCTTAGTATTATACATAGAGCAAGAGGATTATATGAAGTATGAAGAGAAAATTTCTTCTGATTTTCTAAGGAAGATATTGTTTAAGATCCAAGACTAGAAAACCAGTTGAATAATGTAATAGTAGTGCTTGGGCGAATCAAACCTTTTGGTGTGTTAAGTTTAAATTCTCAGGAGGATCGGGAAATCCATGGAACCAGATGGCTCCTAATTGTTTACAAGGAGAAAAAAGTCATGCAGAGGTTGAGAATTGCATGGTATTAAAACCTATAGGGTTAAAAAAATTAGAAAAAACTAGTGTGGAGTTTGGAGTATTTCAACTGGTAATCAAATACAGAATGTTATGAGATAGCTGATGAGATATTCTTTCGTCAGATTTCCTCAAATAAATAAAGGCTGTTGATGGTTCCATCAAGACAGTTTTGCGTGTAGGGAAATAATTAGCATGTGTTTTATCTCCGTTAACATATGTTCGTAATTGCACCCATACACTTCCTTAGAAGGGGAAAGTTTGCAGGCCTCTGAAATGACATTTGTACTTCCATAGCAGAATTCAAAACCAACACTATAGAAAGCATCTATAGCTGCCTTAAAGAAAAAAATTGGTGAATCAGCCAAGGGTGATGGGAAACATGGGGCCTGATAGACTTGTCATATCTTGTTACAAATGTTCTCAAAAAAGCATTATTCATGTGCCTCTGCTTCCTATGACTAGATATCAGATATCACCAAGTCTCTGTCACTGAGGAGCTTATAGCTTAAAAGGGGGACTTTTAAATAAGTAAACACACTAGTAGACATTAATCAGCTCACCAACCCCAAAATATTGGAGCATTAGGAAGAACTGAATTCGAATCTTCGCTCTGGTACTTAAAGTGTGATTATGGGAATGTGTTTTAATTTTAATGAACATCAGTTCCCATCTCAGTTAATAGCAACCAAGCTTCCCGGTAAAAATTCTATGGTTATCCTTTATGTATCTTTCCCCTTGCCTCTTACTGCCAATTTAGCAGCACGTCCAATTGATCCTACTTTCAAACAGACGTGACTACTTCTCTCCCTTTCACAGTGACATCCAAGGCCCCAACATCTATTGCCTAGACAATTGGCCTCCAGTCTACTTCTACTTTTGTCTTCCTCCCCTTGATCCCTGTTCAATTTTTCTTGGTTGAATAGCCATATTGATCCTTTCAGTATGCATTGGATCACAATACTATCTTGCTCCAACCCCTTCAGGTCCCTCCCATTGCACTGGACTATACACACTCTTGGCTGGGCGTGGTGGCTCATGCCTGTCATCCCAGCACTTTGAGAGGCCAAGGTAGACAGATCACTTGAGGTCAGGAGTTCGAGACCAGGCTGGCCAACATGGTGAAACCTCATCTCTACTAAAAATACAAAAATTAGTCAGGCAAGGTGGCATGTGCCTGTAATCCCAGCTACTCGGGAGGCTGAGGCAGGAGAATTGCTTGAACCCAGGAGGCAGAGGTTGCAGTGAGCCGAGATCATGACACTGCACTCCAGCCTGGGTGATGGAGTGAGACTCTGTCTAAATCTATCTATCTAGCTATCTATCTATAGATATAGATATATCTGGGATTAGTGGTGACCAGCTTCCAAGATGACCCTCAATGATCCTGCCTGCCTCTGAGTACCCACACTCTTGTGAAGTTCCCTCCCTCACACACTATGCCAGGGTTAGTCTGTTTGACTAACCCTGGTTAGTCAAAAACAAAAACAAGGAAATAAAAAAACCCAAACTCTTCAGTATGCCCTTCAAGGCTCCATGTGACCTTGTCGTGTCTACCTCTTCTGCCTCATCTGAACCTTAGCTCTTTCCACACCCTTCTCATTCTGCTACAGTCATCTAGTCCTTACTGTTCTATGAGCAGCTCATTTGCTAAGCACATTTCTTCTCCAAGGAGTGGCTCCATTTCTCGAGTGATTCCCATTTCCACTGGCTGGTTTATCATTATCATATAAGCTCCATGTCTAACTCAAGTGTTACCACTTCAAATGGGTTTTCACCATCCTAGCTAAAATAGCAGCCACTGTCTCTCTTGCTCTGTTTTATATCTTCGTGGCAATATTGCCAACTGAAATTTTATTATTATTATTTTAAAATATTATTTATTTCTTACTAGAAGGTTAGTTCTGTAATGACCAACTTTTCCTGTCGTGTTCACTATTGTTTTCCAAGCACATAATCGATACCCATTAAATATCTGTCAAATGAATACGTAATTTTTAATGGGGATGATGAATAAAATATTATTTTTTGAGGAGGGAATAAAAGAAAATAAGTATATCTATAAATACTACACTTGATCTTAGCCAAAAGGCCGAGAAGCGATACGTATATCTATAAATACTTAAAAAGTATGAAGTACTACAATATTAATATTCTTAGATATATAACTAAAAGGGTTGGATGGTAAACAAAGTACTTGGACATGTTTCTGGTAAGTTTCTCTATGAGCTGGGACATAAGTTTTACATTTAATCCTATTTTCTATGTTAAAGGAGGATAAGTGAGTTTTACCCATTGAACAAATAGACCCACTACTCATATTTCACAATTAGCTGCTTTATGCATATTTGACCAACGTTGCACTTTAAGCAATTACAGATAACACTTAGTCCTGGACTTACAGATGGTTTGACTTATGGATGGGGAACGCAGTAGAATATTGTGTTCCCAATAATGCTGCCTATTTACAAAAGCAGAGTTTCCATCCTTTTCATTAGTTAAAAGTGAATAGTTTTTACTAATTAAATTAATATTTAATATTTAATTTGTGTCAATTAAATATGCACAAATTCTGCACAACCCTCAGCCCCCTTTTGCAGATTCTGATATGACAGTTGAGTATTATTATATGAGTAATGATAACTGTCAGGGCCAATGTTGGAAGCAACCATGTGACCTACTAATACAATATTTATCCTCTGTCCCTTTGATTTTCTGTTTAGTAGGCTCTCCAAATTATCACTCATTATGTATCCCAAAGCAGAAATCAGTGTAGGTAGCATTACTAAACTTAGCAAATAAAAATATGGGATGCCAAGTTAAATGTGAATTTCAGAAAAATGAGTGCTTTTCTGGTATAAGTATGTCCTATGCATAAGTATGTAGGGGTACCGTTTTGCTAAAAATTATTTATTGTATATTTGAAATTTATATTTAGCTGGATATCATGTATTTTATCTGGTAAACATATATATAGGATATAGCCAGTGACATAATTCCTGATGCCATCACTGGTCCTTTGGCTCAGACCACAGTATTTCTAATATCAGCGGAGCACAGCTAGATTGTTCAACTGTTGCATCTGTTAAGGTGGTTAGAAGATGGTATTTCATGGAACAAGAATATTTACTATGCCTTCCTTTATCTAAGTGCCTTTAATATGTTTCCTTTTATTTGAATAACTTTGAGTGAGAAATAGACATAAAGGAGAGTTTTCCTATGATGCTTGACTAACTCTGAATACTTCCTGGCACTTGTAAGATAAACTTGGTCATGATAAATTAAGTGATCAGTTATTGCTCCCAAGGTTTCTGTCATCTGGGTTTAGGGTCAGAGGTGGATTTTCTGTGAAGTTAGGAAAACTATAGCTTTAGGGCCGTCACTCGCATAGGTCACTTCCATGGCCCCATGCCTAATTTTGTATTCTTTTTCTTAAATACAAAAAAAAGAGACCTCCCAAACTCTATAAGTGCCATGAAAACCTGCATTCTATCCCCTCATCCCCCACCCATGTCTAGGGATAAACAGTCTAGCATGCTAGCTCTAGATAATTGCTGCTTTGGATAATTTCCAGATAAAATGCCCAAATTGACAAGACAAATGTTTTACATGTAAACAAGTTGCACTTACTTATCTCAGGCCCCCAACAACCTGATTCATTTCAGCTATTGGCTTTTTCTTTTCTCTATGGTCACAGTTATCACAGTATGCTCTCAGGAACATGGGGGCAGAGCTTCAACGTTAAACAGGTCTTTCTGTTTTCCTTTCCACTGGGAGATACCTAGTTCAATGTTCCTGTAACCAGTTGTAATATATGCCAATCTCAAAGTTAAATTCTGGCTCTTTAGGAGGGAGCTTTCATCTGAAGACCTGGGATCTTCAGATTATCACTGCGTTGTCACTTCCCCTAATTTAACAGCTGCTTGTTTTGCTTTACTCCAGTCCTCAACCCCCAGATGAGGTAGTAGAGATCCCCTACTGTTTCGTGGAACACCAGCAACACGGACACAAAGGCAAACTCCAGCTTTCCTCACACCTCTTAAAGAGCATCTTGAACCCTACAAGTCTAGATGGCCCTGGCCTATTCCCTGGGGGATATTTTTTCCCCATAGGTAGGGCTGGTGAGATATTATGTTGGAGTCACCCGGGGCCTATTCTTGTACCTCTTCTGTCTTTCTTTGGGTACTTTCATTCACTTGGTAATCCCATCTTTTGTCATGGCTCTAAAAACCATCCAAATGTTGACAGCTCCCTAGTTTATATCTGGGAAATAATAGGAGGGTTTAGAGTAAAGAAGTGACCCGATACATGCGTGATTAACACATGCTTAAAGGATCAGCCCCGAATTATCCCTTGACTCAAAACTTATTCAACTGTCTATCTGGGTGTCCTTTAGGCATCTCAGACATACTGTGATCACAGCTGAGCTCCTGATCTTGCCTCCAAATACGGTCTTTCTGCAGTTTTCCGTATCTCGATAAATGACAACTTAATCTTCCCAGTGTTTCAGGCCAAAAATCATGGAGTCATTTCTGACTCCTCTGTTATTCTCACGTTAGCTGTTCAAACTACCTAAATAACAGTCTACCTACTAAATACCCTTTGTCTCTACCTTCAGAATATATCCAGAATCTGATCCCTTCTCAGTATCTTCACAGCAAACACCTGGCCCAGGCCACCCCATCTCCTACGTGGCCTTGTAATTGCCTCCTAACTAGTCTCCCTGCTTCTGTTTTCAGCCAACTTTAGTCTGTACTCAATGTAGCAGTCAAAGCAGTCTTTTCAATACATAAGTCAGAGCATGTTAGTTATCCTCTGCTCAAAAGCCTCCAAGAGCTTCCCACATTAATAGGAATAAAAGCCCAAGTCCTATAATGGCCTGCAAGGTGGTATCTGATCAGACCCTCTGCAACGACTATTGTCCTTGTCTCCTAAAATTTTATCCACCACCCACTCCCCTCCAGCCTTGCTGACCTTGCTGTTTTTCACAGAAGCCAAACATTTCCCCACTTAGTGCCTTTCCATTGGCTGTTCCATCTGCCTGGATTGCTCTTCCTTCAGGTGTGTCTATCTGTGTGTGTGTGTGTATGTGCATGTGTGTGTGTATACATGCTTACATGCTTCCTTACCTCCTTCAAGTACTTTCTCAAATGTTACCTTCTCAATGATCACCCCATTTAAAATCGAAACCCCCCCTCCACAATTGTTAATCCTTGTTTTGATTTTTCTCCATAGCATTCATTACTTCTAAGATAGGTTTTTAAAAATTTTTTATTCTGTCTCTTCCAATTAAATATAAGCTCCATGAAATCGGGTTTTTATCTGTTTTCGTTCCTGCTCTATCATTCCTAGCACTCAGAATAGTGCCTGTCACAAGAAATGGAGGGCACTCAACATATATCCATTGAATGCATAAAACAGGATAAGAAAGTCTTAAACATTTGCTTAATGTGTCTTCATCAATCCTTAAAGGTTCAAAAGCACTCAACCCTCTTTCTCTTCTTTGGACTTCCCCTTATGGTGTGTGTGTGTGTGTGTGTGTGTGTGTGTGTGTGTGTGTGTGTGTGTTTTCCAGCTAAAACCTAATATCCTTGAGTCACACCATTAAGAGAGTTGCAGCTAGCTCTTCAGAAATCTTGTATCTACTGAACTCCAAGAACATCATTTATTCAGTACCCAAGGATGGGACATAGCCAATGATGATGATGGGAACATTTTCAGGAACTGTGCTCACTCACATAGATTTTTGTTCATGGAATAAGTTTCTGAAGGTCTGTTTATCAGGGTAAAACTTCAGTCCTGTATCAACTAACAATCCCATACAGAAGGGTCACTGTTTATATTTCTCCAAAGCCTGGTCAAAAGTAACTTTGACTAATTTGATTAAATTGATTGATAAAGTAAATCATATCACCAAAACACTTCTCATTCCAATGCTTGATAGTTATGGAATTTGCTGAGACCACCCACTGAATACCCGTTCAAATGAATGGAATCTCACAGAGCACACATAATCATCTCTGACTTTTGTAGCCATAGGGATACATTAATACCTGTGCCTCATACTTAACTGAAAATCACCAGTTGTCTGCTGAGTAGTTTACTGCATGTCAAATCTGAGGTCCAGTGTAATAGACTGTTTTACCACTTCTATTCAGAATTTTCTAATTCATAGACATTCTAATTTTATTTGTCTTTTTCTCTCAAATACCATGATAGGGTGAAAGTTTGAGCTTTTGTATCTTAATGTTTATTGAATATTAAGATACATAGAGAATACTCTACTATACATAAATGCATACCATTCAATGAATTGTCCTTGGATGAACATTGCTGTAAAACTATTCAAGTTAAAAAATAATATTTCCAGTATCCAGAAGTCTTCTGATGTCTCCTCCCCATCACTACTCCCTTCTTCCTCCCCAATGTAACTGTTACGCTCATTCTAACACTGGAGTTCAGTTGTGTCTCTTTTCCAACTTTCTATAAATGAAATCATCTGTATAAATCTTGCATCTGGCTTCTTTTGCTCCATATTATGTTTGTGAAATTCATCTATATTATTGAATATAATAACTGTGGTTCATTCAGTATTACTGCTTCATAGTATTCCACTTTATGAATTTATCACAATATATTGTTTCTAGTTTTTCATTTTTATAAATCATGTTGCTCTGGGCATTCTTGGAAATATTTTTGGTTACCATGATCCCCTTTCTGTTGAATATACACTTTGGAGTGCAATATCTGTGTCATAGGTATGTACATGTTCAACTTTAGTAGATAATGTAAGCAGTTTTCCTAAATCATTGTCCCAATTTAACTCCCACCAGCAATATAAGAGACATCCTATTGCTACATATCCATGTCAGCAGTTAGGATTATCTCTCTTCTTTATTTTAGTTATTCTCCTTGGTAAATAGTAGTAGTATCTCATTGAGGTTTTAATTTGCATTTCTCTGACTACAAATAAGATTGAAAATATGCAGATATCCTTTTCCTGAAGTGTCCACTCAAGTATTTCCTTCTTTTTTCTATTGCATTATTTATCTAGTTATAGTTAATTTGTAAAAGTTTAAAAATTATTTATCTGGATGCAAGTCTTTTGTTAGTTATGTGTGTTGCAAATATCTTTTCTCACTCTGTGGCTTGTTTTTATAGTCTCTAAATGGTGTTTCTGTTGAAAAGAAGTTTTTAATTTTAAAACATCCAATGTATCCATCTTTTCTTATGAACAGTCATTTTTGGTCCCAATTTATCAAATCCTTACCTATCCTAAAGTCTTGAAGGTATTATCTGAGTTATAGTCTTAGATTATCTTCTAATTGATTTATTATTTTCTCTTTCACACTTTTCACAGTTAAATCTACAATCACCCAGAATGGATTTTCATGTGTGGTGGGTGGTAAGGGTCATTTCTTTTTTAATCGTCAACTTTTTAAAAAAATTATTTTTATACTTTAAGTTCTGGGATATATGTGTAGAACATACAGGTTTGTTACATAGGTATACAAGTGCCACGGTGGTTTGCTGCACCCATCAACCCATCATCTACATTAGGTATTTCTCCTAATGCTATCCCTCCCCTAGCCCCTCTCCCCCTGGCAGGCCCCAGTGTGTGATGTTCCCCTCCTTGTGTCATGTGTTCTCATTGTTCAACTCCCACTTATGAGTGAGAACGTGCAGTGTTTGGCTTTCTGTTCCTGTATTAGTTTGCTAAGAATGATGGTTTCCAGCTTCATCCACGTCCCTGCAAAGGACACGAACTCATCCTTTGTTGTGGCTGCATAGTATTCCATGTTGTATATGTGCCACATTTTCTTTATCCAGTCTATCACTGATGGGCACTTGGGTTGGTTCCAAGTCTTTGCTATTGTGAACAGTGCTGCAATAAACATACATGTGCATGTGTCTTGAATTGAACCAGCATCATTTGTTGAAAAGACTATATTCTGTGTGGATTTCAATTTGAAAATTTTATATAATAAATATTGTATCTATATTTATAACTATGATTTCTCTTTATGTTTGTAAGGCTTAGCAATTAGGATATGCTATCAATTTATCATTTTAAGGCTGATTTTGTCTTTTTTTAAATGTCAAAGTATTTATTTTACCTCAATTGTTGGAAGAACTCATTGGTTGGAGCAGCTAAACCTAGATCTTTGTGGAGAGATAATGGAAAAAATCTGTAATAGGTGTTTGATTTTCTACTTAAATCTATTCACTGATTACTAATTTGCTCAGTTTATTTTCTGGAGTCAATTTTTAGTCATTTATATTTCTCCAGAAAATTATACATTTAAAGGCATGTTTTATTTTTACTACTATAAAGCTACATTCAATATTCTGTTAAATGTGTAAACAATTCTTGTAAATACTGTTTTTCATTTGTAGTTTTGGTATGATTTTTGTTTTCCTATTGTTACGGTCTGTATATTTTATAAAATGAATGTCTTTGATTCTGTTATCTATTGCTGTGAAACAAATTACTCCAACACTTAGTGGCTTAAAAGAACAAACATTTAGTATCTCATGCAATTTCTGAGGCAAGGAAATCTAGGGGCAGCTTGGCTGGTTCAACATCTCTCACAAAGTCACAGTCAAGCTTTTCTTCCTGGGCTGCCATTGTCTCAAGGCTTGGCTGGGGCTGGAGAATCCACTGTTAAGCTCACTCACTTGGATACCGACAGAGCTCAATTCCTTGCTAGCTCTTGGCTGGAGGCTACATTTTCTCTTCCTTCCTTCCTTCCTTCCTTCCTTCCTTCCTTCCTTCCTTCCTTCCTTTCTTTCTTTCTTTCTTTCTTTCTTTCTTTCTTTCTTTCTTTCTTTCTTTCTTTCTTTCAGACAGAGTCTCCCTCTGTTGCCCAGGCTGGAGGGCAGTGGTGCGATCTCGGCTCACCGCAACCTCCTCCTCCGGGGTTCAAGCAATTCTCCTGCCTCAGCCTCCAGAGTAGCTGGGATGACAGGCGCCCGCCACCACGCCCAGCTAATTTTTTGTATTTTCAGTAGAGACGGGATTTCACCATGTTAGCCAGGATGGTCTTGATTTCCTGACCTCATGATCCGCCCACCTCGGCCTCCCAAAGTGCTGGGATTACATGCGTGAGCCACCGCGCCCGGCTGGAGGCTCCATTTTTTTTTTTACCGTGCAGTCCTCTCCATAGAACTGTTCACAATATAGCAACTTGTTTTTCACTCCTTTCCCCTTCTCACTCCTCTTTTCCAGCAATAGATCAGAGAGAGAGAGAGCGACAAAGACACAAAGAGACAGAGAGAACAAGAGAGCTCAACGTGGAAATTATACTCTTTCAAAGTCTAATCTTAGAAATGACTTACCATCACTTCCACATCTGCTATTGTTCAAACAGACTAACCCTGGTATAGTGCGTGTGGGAGGAGACTTCACAAGAGTGTGGGTACTCGGAGGCAGGCAGGGTCATTGAGGGTCATCTTGGAGGCTGGTCACCACTGATCCTGGTTATATACATATTTTATATATATATTATATATATTTTATATATTATATGTATTACATATATTTTGTATATATAATTTATATGTAATATAATATATATAAAATATATATAATTTATATATATAATATATGTATTTTTTAAGACAGAGTCTCATTCCATCACCCAGGCTGGAGTGCAGGGGCACGATCTCCACTCATTGCAGCCTCCGCCTCCTGGGTTCAAGCGATTCTCCTTCCTTAACCACTGAAGTAGCTGGGACAACAGGCATGTGCCACCATGCCTGGCTATTTTTTGAATCTTTAGTAGAGACGGGGTTTCACCATGTTGGCCAGGCTGGTCTCAAACTCCTGAGCTCAAGGGATCCACCCGCCTTGGCCTGCGAAAGTGCTGGGATTACCGTCGTGAGCCACTGCGCCCAGGCTGGTCATAGTTTTGTTGTGAATTCTATTTTTTTCTGATATTAATATTATTTTCTACTTTTGATTTGTGTATTTACATATATATGTTTACATGATTTTTATCTTTATATTTTTAAACTTTTAAAATGTCACTATTTGGCTGGGTGTGGTGTCTCAGGCCTGTAATCCCAGCACTTTGAGAGGCCAAGGCAGGTGGATCACTTGAGGTCAGGAGTTCGAGACCAAACTGGCCAACATGGCAAAACCCCGTCTCTACTAAAAATGCAAAAAAAAAAAAAAAAAAAAAAACAATTAGCCGGGCATCGTGGCACATGCCTGTAATCCCAGCTACTTGGGAGGCGGAGGCAGGAGAATCTCTTTAACCCAGGAAGCGGAGGTTGTGGTGAGCCAAGATCACATCACCACACTCCAGCCTGGGCAACAGAGTGAGTCTCCATCTCAAAAAAAATAATATATATATATATTTTTAATTAAAACGCCACTCTATTTTAGCAAAACATGGGTTTTGTTCATTGAATCTGAAAGTCTTCAGTTTTCCATAGAAGAACCGAAAACATTTAAATGTACTGTCCTGATACTTGGCCTTACTTCTTATTCCTCTTATTTTCAAAAACATTGTTGAATTATATTTGTGTCTTTATTAAGATGATGTCCAAACAGGAGTTTAAAATTTCTTCTGTATAATCATGGAACATTCTCTGAACTAGCACATTGTAGACACTCAATAAGTATTTGTTGAATCAGTGATACAGATAGATGGATGGTTGGTTGAAAGAGGAATGACGCCGCTTTGCTAGGGGAGGTGAGTGTAGGACTCCCTCCCTCAAAGTAGTCTGTTAAACAGGGAAGTGGCTGCTTGGTTATCTGAACAAGTATTCACTCCACATTTTGAGCTAGACATAATCATTGAAAGAGAGCTAGAATGCCTTCCTATTGACTTCCTGGCCTGCTGGGAATTTTTGCTTCCTTCTCCCCCAGCCATCCAATTTTTCAAGAAAAATTTTCTGTTTGCCAGCTTATTTCCCCAACTCCCCTACTCTTTTGTCTTTCCTACCCTCTAAAGAGAGTCTAGGTCTCACAGGTGATCTTTTGTAGCTCTGTGATGCCTAATAATAGAACAGAAAAGGAGATGGGGAAGAACTGACAGAAAGACTAAAGAAAGGAATTAACTAGCGAGTTTAAGTGGAGCTGCCTAAGGATGCAATGCAGGAAAAAAAAAACACACACACACACAAAATGGATGGGGACTACATGCTGAAGGGACTGAAGTCAAGAGGGAGAATTTGGGCTGCGAGTCAGCCAATGAGAGATTCCAAAAGGAATAGAAAGTGCTGAGAAGACAAAAGCACATGTAGCCTGATAAGGGCATGGTGACCAGGAGCTCAGGTCCCTCAGAAATGAGTGTCTAGTTCATGCCATCAGGTAAGCTACTAAGACTAGCAGAGCTGCAGCCTGATATAGGAGGAATCCAGACGGATAATGGAGGAAGGAGATGATGAGTATCAGTTGCAGCCCTGGGACTGGTGCAGAAGCAGGGGTGGAGTTCCTCCTATTAACTTCCCCTATTGTAGATTTCACTGGGAAGAGATGCCTCTTGGTACAGTGGAGGAACTGCTCCTTGAACGTATTCAAGTGGCACATTTGGCTCCTTGAAGTGGATCCAAGTGGCACATGGGATAGATGGTGGTAGAAACAGAGAAGTGCATCTCAGAAGGACATGTTGTCCTTCTGCCAGTTATAGTTCTGCCAGTAGATAGCCTCTAGGGCTCAGCCCCTTCAGGGATTCTTTTAGCTGCAGAGGTGCAGGTTAAACAGGTTGCCTTAAGGTGGCCCTTAACAAGTGGCCTTAAACAGGTGGCCTGAAAAAGGTGGCCTTAGCTAAGGCCACCACCCCCATCCCCTCAAAGGTTGGCATGCAGTGACTGATGGAGGGCCATGTTCACCCTAAGTGAGGCAACTCCAGCAGGCACCTACAGCTTCCTGTGGAGTTGGCTAAGGCAATCAGGTCTGCATCACAACCTGACTTCTCCCTCTGCTCAATTGTTTTCCCCTTCTTTTCACAGCTGTTGGTCCCAAGGGATACCCTAGAAATATACTAAACGCTAAACATTGTCTCAGGTCTGCTGTTGGATAACTCAACCCATGGCAGTGCTCTGTAAGACTACGGAGATTTTGTGGGATTAAAACTAGTAGAGAGTATGAAAGCCTTTTTTTTTTTTTTTTTGGCAGATGCAGTATTCTGAGAAATGGATTAACATGATTTAAAATGGTGGCCAAGAAATATGATTCTTCTTGTTTCATTGGAAGGCCTGGAAGTGTAAGAGGCTAAAATATAAAACAGACTGGGAATTTGTTTCAGGAGTCTAAGAATAAAATCCACAGGCTAAAAGAGGGTTGCAGTTGGAGGGAAAAAATGTACTTGCTATTTTTCAAAAAAGAGTTGGAAAGATTTGGTGTCAACCTGGATGTGAGGATGAAGACAAGCCAGCTAGAATAAATATTGATTCCAAGATTGAGGGCAGAGGTTTCTGGGAGTGTCACTGATGGGAACAGACAAAATGGAAAAAGACTTAATGAAGAAGATAATATCCTCAAGTTTTGACATCTCTAATTTAAAATGTCAACAAGCTATTTAAGAGGAAGTTTCTTTGTGTTGGGAGCCACCTTAGTTGTCCAGCCATATTAAGGGGCTGCAATACAGTCATGAAGGCTATAACCAGCACTATGGTATCATGCCCAGTCTAAAATGAGGCTGAGCTCTGACCAATGTGGGGGCTGCATGTGCCAGGAAGAAGGGGTGCCTTTTCTGACTGGCACAAAGATGTTGTGTGAGCTGGTAGGGGGCCTGGCCATTGCCTCAAAATCAGTGAGAGAGACAATGTGATGTCTGGTGAAATGCACAAATTTGGTTTAGATTAGAGATGGAAAGTTAGTGAAGGAGAAAAGGCTTTAGTAAGTTAGATTTCTTTAGGGTGGGAGAATAGGCAAGTCACTTAAACCTTCTGAATCTCCTTTTCCTTATTTGTGTGGCAGGATGCTTTTCTTTTCTCCACTCCCTCACAGCTTCCTCGTACCAAGATATGATAGCTGAATGAGATATTTGGCAAGGCAGAGAAAAGAGATGGAGACGCTTAGCCTAATTAATGTGCTACACTTATGCCAAGAAGGGATTCTATGCTTACCTAGCAGATAATTTACCCTGAAACTGGACTAGGCAGGTCACCTTTTTCTTCATTTTATTCTTGCATATGCAAGATCTAATTATCCAGACGTATCCACAGAGAGAGGAACCAGATGAAATGAGGAAAGCACGGTTCACCTTCAAGAGAAAGAAGTAGGACTCTGGGGTTTTAAGCCGAGGCATGAAATGTACCGATTAATAGCGTCATTTTGGAAACACAGGTCTCAGGAGTTTTGGGAAGGTTAGTATGAGCTTGTCAGCATTGCTTATGAATAACAGTGAGATTGCTGCTTTGCACCTGATCTCAGTCAGACCTCAGAGGCTCAGCCACTGGGGCTGGTTATGCAGCAGGAATATATCCATGCGACCAGCAGGGTGTAAGAAGTCCAGGCCAGGACGGGCGCAGTGGCTCATGCCTGTAATCCCAGCACTTTGGGAGACCAAGGTGGGTGGATCACAAAGTCAAGAGATCGAGACCATCCTGGCCAACATGGTGAAATCCCGTCTCTACTAAAAATACAAAACTTAGCTGGGCCTGGGGGCGCGCGCCTGTAGTCCCAGCTACTCAGGAGGCTGAGGCAGGAGAATCACTTGAATCCAGGAGGCAGAGGTTGCAAGTGAGCCAAGATTGTGCCACTGCACTCCAGCCCAGGTGAGAGAGCAAGAATCCGTCTCAAAAAAAAAAAAAAAAAAGAAAAAAGAAAAAAGTCCAGGCCAGACTCCATCTCAGGCTCACTGGTTCCAATGTGTTCCATCCATACCTCAGTGGCTCTTGATTTAGGGAAAAAAGCACATCCTGCTATTTAATTTGCAAAAATTAAATAACTACTTGATGTGTCTTTTGTGCAGATAATACCCACAAAATATTAGTTTTTGCCCTTTTTCCCTTATAATTTTAACATACTTATTTTCTTTACTTGTCTCATGTTTTCTTTCAGAGATTCTAACTCTCTTTGCTAAATGGATATAGGAATAAATACTCTTAAAATACATTTTTTATTGTATTGATGTGGAAAATGTAGAAAAGCACAAAGGGATTTTTTTAAAACTCTGCAATATCATCCACCAGTCATAATCATTATTAAGATGTTTTCACAGATATTCCCAGCTTTTATTCTATAAATAAGACTCTCATGATTCACTTATCCCTCACTTGTCTAACTATTTTATACTTTTTGACGCACTAAGATTCTAAAATGAACCATAAAAGCTGGCACATATTTATAGTAATCAGTTTTCTTATTTAAGAGGATGAGATAGATGAGTGTAAATAATCTTGCTATACACAAAATTGTTTCTGCTACTCTGAAGACAAGGTGTTCTTACATCTCGGTCTTTGAGCATATATGTAATAAAGTTTTGTGTAAGGTTGCAGACTTTGTCTTTAATACAAAGGAAAACAACAGGTATAGCCTTCATATAAATTATCTCATTTAATCCATACCGTGATTTTATGAGATTGGTACTGTTACCTTCATGTTACTGATGAGGGACCTGAGCCAGGAGAGGCAAAATATCTCAGTCAAAGTAGCCCAGCTGCTAAAAGATTCTGCCTTTGAAAAATCGCCTGCCATTGACACCTTTGTCACCGTCACCTCCATCTCTGTCTGAGCCACCATGATCTTTTTTGACCTATTGCAAAATCTATTTAACGGCTACCTCTACCTTGGCCCCTGTATAGTGACCAAAGTGAGCCTTTCAAAAACATAAAGCAGATCATGTCATTCCTCTGCTTAAACCTTTCACTGGCATATCCCTCAGGGTAAAATCCAGAGCATTAGTAGGGCTTCTAAGGTTCTATTTAATCTATTCCCCACTCCCTCACTTTCCCAGTCACTCTGGTCTCACCTCTCCCTCTTGCTTCCTGAACTCAGTGCTGCCATTCTCCACACAGCTTGACATGTTCCTACCTCAGGGCCTTTACACCTGCTCTGTCTCCTTTGCCAGAAATCTATCACTTTATTCCCATCTCTGATTAAATGTCACTGCTCCTTCAAACCCTTGCCTGGCTACGCTATATAAAATAGCCCCTTTCCCAGCTTTCTTTATCAATTACCCCGATTCATTGTTTTTCCCGTGGTATTTGTTACCACCTGGCTTTTATTTGTTTATTTCTTCATTTGTTTATTTTCTGTCTTCTCCTGCAAGAATGTTACTGTATGAGAGTGGGGACTTTGTTTTATTTGTTGTATTTCCAGGCCCAAAACAGATCCTGGGCCCACTAAGGAAAATTTGTTAATGAATGACGGAAAGGAAGGAGCCAGATTTCCAGTTCACATCTTCACCCTAAGTCCAGGCTATTTCCTCTATGCATTCTGAATACCAGAGCCACTTGAAGGAAGGAACATACAGTGAAACACCGGTGATATTGTAAACCTTCCTTGCAACCCTCTTCGCTTGCCTTGCTGAGATTAGGAAGATTGGAATGAGTCAAAGCCAGAGTCCTTCCTCGGAAGATCACTCTAGCATTTGCTCTTCTCCACTGTCAGGAAAGAAGAGAAAGCATAGAGAAAATGGTACCTATAACAGTGAATTCACAAGAAAGAGGACATGAGACCATTTGATTGTACATAAGTAACCTGGACTTTGGATCAGAGGACCCTGGCTCTGCTGTGTGACTTGGAAAAACTTTTTAAAAACCTTTCTGAGGTTGTTTTTATCATTTTTAAAATGAAATTAATGATCCTTCCTTTGGTCATGAGAGTCAGGTTCTCCAAAAAGCCAAAGGAACTGTTTCCTCACGAAGTGTCAGAGAGATTTTTGAAAGAGCTAGATACTGTATCTCTGGGATTAAAGTGACAAAGCATGGCCTTTAAGAGATCAGAAGTAAAAGATATTTTAGCACAGTGGATTGTCAGTCTGCATTAGCAGGTGGTGGAAGAGCTTTCGGCAGACATGCCCCTATAACTTCAGTTAGTGGCAGCACCATTGGCACAGGTACACCCCCAGGCAGCTGGCCCTGGTAACAAGGTGGCAGCAAGGGGAATTCACATTTAGAGGCAATGAAGGCAGCTGTCGCCACCATCATAAACTTCTCCTCCTCCTCCTTACTCTTCCTCATAATTCTCCTTTCTCCCTCTTCTCCCCTCCTCCTCTCCCTTCTTCATCCTCCTCATCCTTCTTCATCTAGCTGTGATATTTTTTGTCCTGGATTTAGGTTGTACTGGTGAGGATAGAGACAGCAAATCAATAATAATATTTTAAATAAATTTTTAAGCACATATACAACAAACGCTGCATTTGATACCTACACTGTCTCATTTCATCATTATTTAATCTCCCTTAAGGTAGGTATAGTAACTCTGCAATGGAGTTGAGAGAAATGAGGCATAGGAGGGAGAATGACTTGCTTAAGGTCTCACAATTCATAAGTGATGGCAGGAGGATTTGAACTTCTTGGAGGTTCAGATTTGAACCTGGAGTCTCTTTGACTCCAGGACACTTGTTCTAAAGTCACTCAGATTCAAAAGGTAGAATCAGATGGCTTAGTGATTGGATGTGTCAGGGACAGGGGACTGTGAGGAGGAGAAGGGGTCTAAAATACTTCCTAGTTTTCTGATTTGGGTGGCCTGTTGAAATGTTAATGGTGCTTTACCCAGGGTAGGGACACTCTGACTCCTAGAAATAGTTCCAGCCTCTAATTAGTGTCGAGATCATTTTTTAGGTTAAAAATGAGCTTTGGGCTAGAGTTACAGGAATTCTTATTTCAATCTTTCACTTGGTTTTGCCTGTAATAGACTGGCTAAACTGTAAGAGGCCTCCTATTAATTTTAAACTGTCTTGAACTCAAAATAGTCAAAGTATTAAGCTAATGAAAGAGCAGTGTTCTTGTTGTTGAGTAATCCACTTATTTATTCTATAGCTTCCTCTCCCATGCTCTTTGTTCCCTTTGATCATAATTTTAATGGGTTTTGGAAAAAATAGAAACCCATGCACTACATTGGCTATATTTAACAGGAGTACCTATAAAATATCATTTTGTCTAATGTACTGTAAATAATTTTTTCCAGATGCTTGAATGTTTTTGGAGTGTATACCTTTATAAATTATACATTTTTATATAACACCTGTATCTGTTTTTCCTTTAATTGCTTCTCAATCTTGTGTCACGTTTAGAAAAGCCTCCTCATTTTAAGATATACAAATATTCACTCTCATTGTCTTTTAGAAAGCGATAGATTTATTTCATAAATGAATTATCTGATAAATTTTTAAATGGTGTAATTTTTTTCTACCATTGATTAGAAATGCTATGTATATTAAAATAAATTCATATAGATAAGTACATATATTTATATATAAGATATACATATGCATATGACTCATATATATGAGTCAGTGTCTCCCTCAGTAGAATGTTTGATTTAACACCCCAGAACATATTTTAATACCTTGTTTTAATATCTTTTCTCATACTCCTATAGTTTTTCTTTCTTTCAACTTTTATCCTTTTTATATACACAGTAAAACAAAAAATTTATTTTTGTTTTATATGAGACCATATAGAATTTATATATGAATTTAGAATTACCATATCTAAAACATTGAGCCTTTCTACCCAAGAACATGCTATGCAATTGAAAGCATTTAATAATCTTTCATAAATCATTCATTATAATTTTAAGATTTTCTTTTGTTATGCATTTATAACAGTTTATTCCTTGGTGTTTTATCTTTTGGGTTACTATTGTAAATAAAATATTAGTCTTCATTTTATTTTCTAAACGACATTTATTTCTTATTGGAAATCTATACATTTCTTACAAAGATTTGTCAGTAGACCACAAAATAAAATTATTTTATTTCTAATAAGTTTTTTAAATCAATTCTTTTATTTTACTATATTCATAATCATATCTATAAACCACAATAATTGTGTTTCTTCCTATCCAATTTATACTTCCTCATTTTTTGACTTGTTTATATACTTAAATACTTTCAGGAGCCTAAATTAATAGCAGGCATTATTGATTGTAATGCAAAATGCTTTATTACGTCAACATAAAGCTAAATAAAAACTACTTTTTATCTGGTTTAACACTTTCTATCCTAAATTCCACCTTGATATATCAAGTCTGTAGTTCCAGCCTTGTTCTCAATTAAGATCTCTCCAGTAAGTTTTTCGGTTGTGTGTTTTTGATCCTTCTAAGTCAAAGTGTTATAATGAACCTCTTAACCTAGAATTGCTCTTACTTTGATTTTTGAGGTAATTTAATAGATGTTAATAACCAATATGTCTTTTATGTGTTTATAATATTTTTGTTTTCTATTTTGAAATGTGAATTGTGTTTTATTTATTTATTTTGTGGTTTGTGATGTTATTTATTTCTTATAATTTTGAAATATTTGTCTGCTTTTGATCCTCTATTATACTTTTAAAGGTGTATAATCTACTTAGCTTTGTACTTCCTGAAATGGATACACTAAAATCAATGAGACCAATATTTTCTATTAATAGTGCATTTTTGGTTTTTGTAGCACACACTTTACTTCATACAATGGAATTCATAATGTATCCTACCTACACACCTAATATTAAAAATTAACCAAGATAATTCCCTAACTCTAATATAAAAAGTATAAGAGACCACTAATTTACAAGACCACTATTTCTATACAAAAAATACTAAGGAATGACTGAACTAGAAGATACATTGAAGTGGTTAGCTCTTTGCACTCATACACAGAATTACCATGGGTTTGGTAGCCATAAATAAAGACTGATAATAGTCATTTCCTATTAGACACTCAAGTAGGATGATGTATTTTTTTCAATATAGTTAAAAAATTCTAAGAAATTTCTGAATGAAAAATATTTATTGACTTAACATAAAAAATTTATTCCTGATATAGTCAATGATTATTAAAATTGTGTAAAAATATTTCATGCCAATATGTGACATGAAATTCAGATCTAGGCTTAGATATTCATATATAGGTTTTATACACACATTAACATATGCTGTGACTTTTAGAAATTGTGCAATCTGTGAAAAACGTTTGCTTTGCCTGAACTGTTCTGTGCATTGAAAGATTTATAACATTCATCATTCACTACCCATATCCTAAAATTAAACTGTTCCAGTCAATTATTCTGAATATTGACAATGACTCTAGAAGTTCCCAAGATGCCTCTAGAAGACAAAATACTCTCCCTGAAAATTACTGAGCTGAAATAAATTTCTCCAATTTACAAAAGCACTCATCACTTTTCACCCAACCATGTACTAGTACGTCTAGCATTTTGTCATAATAATTAATAAATTCAAATAAATTGTAATATATATGTGTACATTGATATTGAGTACTAAGAGAAATGGCTATCAGATTGAAAGCTTTTCAGTGAGTACATCAATTTTGCTAAAATATCAATTTTGATGAAAATTATAGTAACCTATAAATGTTACTGATATCTTGAAAATATGTAAATCTAAAGAAATTTTCTTTGAGAAATCAAATTGGACTAAAATAATTTATGAATGTATTGCTAACTGTATTAAATATATAAATTTTAAAATATAAATGGGAAACAAGTGAATAATATGATAGAAAGTAAAAAGCAGAAGCCTACTAGGTAAAATTCTATAAGTTAAAAATATGATCTGATGTGAAAATATTATAATTATTAGTTTTTTATCATTTATGTTTTTAATGAAAAAAATTCTAGGAATAGAAAAACTAAAATTATTCCTTTACACATTATCCTGAATCCTAAAGTTATGACCCAAATACCATATAAACTGTGGATGCTCAATTACTGTTGCATTAATATGGTCAACAAATGCATTTTAAACTTGAGCAAGCTATGCTTAAGACAAAGGTCACCTTTTAAAGATTCTGCATAAAAGGCTGCATGAAACTCCAAGTCTTAGAAAATAATTTGAAAAGCAATGCTAAAAGGTTATACCTATAAAAACGATTTAAATATAAATTTAAATAAAAATCTGGCTTAGGTAGTATAAAACTATATAACATGCACAAGTCATTTTATTGTTTGAGATATGAAATTGAAGTATGAAAAGTCATAAAACCTGAAGCTATAATACGGTCAAACTTTAATTTTAAATATATAACGTATGTATTTGGGAAAAATATATGAGAGATAATTGTGTATAGATGAGTTAAATTTCAACCCATATGAAACTTGAAACTTTATTATTCAAAAATGCTTCATTTAATGAAGTTTGTTATAATAATTTTGGTATGTGTATGGGTAATACAATGATATGTACTCTAGAATTGCTTAAATGAATGATTTCTATATCATTTTACTATAAGGATTTAAGAACCAAGATTATTTGGTTTTCTAGAGCATAATAAAGAGAGAAAATATATCAGTGTATGTAAGTGCCTTAGACAAAAAGATTTAGACACTTGATCTAGTGGTTTCAAGACTGGCCCCAACCCAAAAATACATTCAATATGACACTTTCATATGCAGTTCGATATCTTTTTTGCTTTAAAGGTAAAAATATACCCACATAAAACTTTTACTTGAAGGCAGAAAAGTTTGCATAGTATAGCCAAAATAAATAAATAAACCTAAAACCAACTATTCAACTTGTTAATAAAATCACGGACATCACGGCAGAAATTACAATAGTCTTAGAATAAATAATTATTAGACTTTTGGGATCAGAAATAATTTAAGAAAATCCTGGTCAAATTATACTATACTTTTGTGCCATATTCACATAAAGCTCTATTTTTACAAGCCTCCTGACTCTACAGAAATAGTTTTTGAAACTTCACCTGATTTTCTTATGGACTTTTAGATTCTACACTTTGAAACAGAACTCTTACTTATAACTGAAAATTATGTTTTGGATATATTTAACATTACACAGAAAATGTGAATCTCCTAAAATAGCCTGTAAAGGAAACAGGTTAAATTTAAAACTTCCAGAAAGAAAGCCAGAAGACACACTGCTATAATCAAGCAACTTGTATGTTCAGAAAGTGAAAAAAATAATTACTTTAGTACTTTAAAAATGTGTTCACTTTCTAAATGAAACAGAAGAACCATGAGATGTGTTCTGAAGAGTGTATAATCTTACCTATGTATAGTACATTACCTGGGGACAGGTATCATGTCTCATTGTCATAACATTTTGAAAAATATCTTCCAGTTAGAGGAGATTCAATAAATAATAAATGTATGAATGAATATATTTCATTCTGTTATGATATTTCTGGTAGCAAGTAGGGATTGGTGACTTAGACATAAATTTGAGGCTTCAAAAACAGGTGGGAGTCATGAACACTTCACAGTCTGGGCATGGTATTAAGAAATTAACATCCCAGACTTAGCAAATCTTTCCTGGTCTTAAGTAACAATATGGCTGGTATGATTTAGTCTTTGGCTCATTAAACATTTTATAAACCCCCAGAAAAATTTTTTGAAGATTTCAGGGCAAAAAAATGTGGTAATATGCAGACCTGTTTGCAATACATCATTTATATAATGAATTTTAATCTGCACCCATTTAAAATACACTTTAAAAGAAAATGTTTATACGCTATTCATTAACTTTGTGTCCGTTAACATCATCAACATTATTAGTGTCTATCATTATAATACTATCATTATTTTGCCTTATAAATTGAGTTTAATTGAAAAATTTCTCCATCCCGAAATCACAAAGATATTTTTCTACATTTCTTTCATTTATATCGTCATTTTACCTTAAACTTTTAGATCCCTATACACATTTAGAGTCTACTTCTATATAAGGTATAAGGTTGTAATCCAGTTTCATTTAAGGTCTTATTATGAGCCATTTCCTCAATACCATTTACTAAAGAACCCTGTATGTTCAAATGAGATTATAGCCAAATTTCTCATATATTGAGTTCCCGTATATACTCGGGTTGTTGTCAGAGCTCTCTGTTGACCCATTATTATTTTTTTTCCTTTAAAGGCACCCATATGTGTTATGTAGTCTGTCATGTCATATGGTTCATCAGATCCCACCCCATTAGTCTTCCTTTTCAAAGATGACTTCATAATTTAGAAAATATTATTCATAAATATATATAACATGATAATTAGTTTCTAAAATAACTTGCAATATTTTTACTATTGCATTAAATGTGTGAATTAATTTGGGAAGAATTAATATTTTAGCTAATTTAAGGCCTAATATTTAACTCCATGCATTATATTTCCATTTATTCAGTGTATATATAATTTTCTCTTTTTCATTGAGCTTAGTGGTATATAGAGGGTCTTTTTAATGGAGAATTAGAGCATCTTTTTTTTAATTCTAAACATTTTGCATATCTTTTGACATTATAACAGGTGGTATCACACATATAATTTCTAGATATTGCAACTGATATAGAGAAACTTAATTTTATATAAAATACTTGTATCTGCAACATTTGTTGGGCTCCATTGTTAGTATTAATTATGAGACAATATCAAGAACTCATTAAAGTGTTGATAAATTACAAAAATTTTGTAATTTATCCAAGATTCTCTGGATATCAAAAAATAATGGCAAACAAAAGAGAATCACAAAATCAGAAAAAAGGAAATAACATCACAAAACGAAGGATAATTTTCTTAGTAAATAAAAAAGCTTCTGAAAATCATTGTTTCATTAAACAAGTATTTGTTGAGCACTATTCTATGTGTCTTTTGTGGCTTACTACTTTTCCTTATCAAAATGTTTTCAATGTTTATTCGTATTGAAGCACATATCAGTAATTCATCTTTGTCTATTGCTGAATAACATTTCATTGTATGGATATAACAAATTTTATATATCCATTCATCAGTTGATGGTCATTTGGGTTGTTTCAACTTTTTGACTCTTTCGAACAAAACTGTAAACATTCACATATAAATTTTTGTAAAGAACATATATTTTCAATTTTTTGAGTATATACTAGAAGTAGAATTGCTGGGTGTAAAGTGTTATCTCATTGTTTTGATTTAAAATTCCAGTCTTTCAGCCTTTCACCGTAAAGTATAATGTTAGTTATGTTTCTTCATTCTTCTTATTTTTTTTTAACTTCTCTTATCAGATTGTGGAAGTTCCCTTTTATTCTTTATTTGTTGAGTGTTTGTTTCATAAAGTGTTGTGAGATTCTGTAATACAATTTTTTTCTCCATCTACATTATCATGCATTTTCTTCTTTATTTATTCTATTGATACATTAAATTACATTAATTGATTTTAAGCCACTAAATCAAACTTATATTCTTACGATAAATCCCACCTGGTCATGCTGTATAAACCTTTCTATATGTTGCTGAATTTGGTGTGGTATCACCGTGTTGAGGATTCTTCTGTGAATTAATTTGGGAAGAATTAATATTTTAGCTAACTTAAGGCCTAATATTTAAGTCTATGCATTATATTTCCATTTATTCAGAGTATATACAATTTTCTCATTTTCATTGATCTTAGTGGTATACAGAGGGTTTATAGTGCTATATAGAGGGATTGAAAACATAGATTTGCCTATAGTTTTCTTGTGATTTGTCTGGTTGTGCTATTGTTGTAATATTGGCCTCATAAAATGAGTTGGGAAATGTTCTCTTCTCTTCTATTTTTGGAGGAGGTGGTGAATAACTACTCTTAATTTTGCTTTAAATATCTGTTACAATGTCTCAGTGAAGTCATCTAGCCATGAACATTTCATAGTGTTAATTTTTGTTAGTTTGTTTAATTACTGATTCAATCTTTTTACTTGTTATAGGTTAGATTTCCTACTTCTTCTTGAATCAATTTCAGTAGTTGGTATTTTTCTATTTTATCGAAGTTAACTAATTTTTTTAATTTACAGTTGTTCATAGCATTTCTTTATAATTATTTTTCTTTCTGTAATTTCAGTAATATTTTATATCTTATTCCTGATTTTAGTATATTTGTTAATGTTTAAAACAAATGAAATTTTGTTTTTTGATATTCTTTATTGTTTATCTATATTTTATTTTATTAATTTTACTCTACATTTTATGATTTCCTTCTTTCTACTTATTTTATTTAGGTTTAGTTTCCTCTCTTATCCATTGTGTTGTGGAAGTTTAGGCTATTGAGGTATTTACAGCTATAAATTTTATTCGCAGCACTGCATCACCCACATCCCATGAGTTTTGGTATCCATTTTCAATAATCTCAAAGTCTTTTCTAATTTCTCTTGCAATTTCACTTTGATTCATTGTTTAATAAAGATTGTATTATTTAACTTCCATGTAATTGTAAATTTATCAAGTTACTTATTGATTTTGATGTTTAATCTCATTCAATTTTGGTCAGATAATGTCCTTTTTATTATTTCAATTTTTTGAAATATATTACAGCTTGCTTTATAGCATAGCGTAGGATATGATCTATCTTGGAGAGTGTGCCATGTACATTTAAGAAGGTTATTCTGCTGTTGTTGGGTAATGTGTTTTATAGCTATCTACTATTTCTAGATGATTTATAGTGTTGTTTGAATCTCCTATATCTTAGTTGATTTATAGCCAAGTGTTATATCTGCTATTGAAAGTAGAATATTAGAGCCTCTAATTGTTATTGTTGAATTGGCTATTTCTCCCTTAAATTATTTTTTAGCTTCATTATTTTGAGGCTCTGTTGTTAGTTGTGTATATACATATATATATACACACACATATATGTTTGTAATCACTACCTTTTCTGATAGTTTGATTCTTTTATAATTATAAAATATCTTTCTTTTTCTCTACTAACTGTTTCATTTTTTCTCTTAAAATCTATTTTTTCCCTGATGTTAGTATAGGCACTCCAGTTTTCTTCTTGATGCAGTTTGAATGATATTTTTTTATTGCTTTACTTTCAGCTTATTTGTATCTTTGAATCTAAAGTGTCTTCCGTAAACCATATATATATATATACACACACGTATACATAAAGTGTATCTTCTATAGATCATATATAGTTGACTAAATCAGAAAACAGCCAGTCTAAACGTCTCTAAATTTTGACTGAATTTCTGAAATCACTTTATTTAAATATTTTTGATATATTTGAATTTATGCCTGCCATTTTACTTTTTGTTTTCCACATGTCTTATATCTCTTTTGTACCTGTATTTTTTTCATTGTAATTATTCTAATACTAGTTTCTTTTATACTAAGTAAATCTCTAGGGCAATATTTTATTTTATTGTATTTATTTTCTCATGATAGGGTCTCACTCTGTTGCCCAGGCTGGAGTGCAGTGGCACAATCATAGCTCATTGAAGCTTCTAACTCCTGGGCTCAAGTGATACTTCTTCCTCAGCCTCCCAAGTAGCTAGGGCTAGGAGTACAGGTGTGCACAACCACACCTGGCTGATTTTTTTAAGTTTTTTGTAGAGACAAATTATCACTATGTTGCCCAGGCTGGTCTCAAACTCTTGGCCTCAAGCTATTCTCTTGCCCTGGCCTCCCAAAACACTGAGATTACAGGCTTAAGTCACTGTGCCAGACCCTGAGGGCAACATTTTAATTTTGTTAATGCTAATTTTACTAAAGCATATGAGTTTTTGTTTGTTTTGTTGTTGTTTTTTGTAGTTGCTTTGGAGCTAATCGTACACATCTTAACTTAGCAGAATTTACCACAGATTTATGCTAACTTAATTCTACAATGACATAGAGAAGTTATTTCTATACAGATATATTCCTTCTTCCCTCCTTTTATTGTGCTAGAATTGTTATACATAACATGTATTATGTAACATAATATATAATAACTATATATGTATATGTAAGTGTTTGTTATGGAAATTCCAATCATTTTAATCAACAAAAACATTGTTACCATGAAACAGTTCGATGACTATCAATTTAATTATAACTTTTTGATATGTGATATTATCTGCTCAAATGATACATAAATACCTGGGTCTATTAATTTCATCTTTACAAACAGCTTCATGTTGACACTCATTTTCTTGATCATCAGTTGTATTTTCCAGATACATGTTGCCAGCCCATCTGAGAAAACATAGATACCGATATTCCTGACTGTCTTCTTCACTCAAACAACTGCATCCATTTGCACAAATCTATAGCAACGAAAGAAGTAAAAATGTTATGAATTCCCATCACTTACTACAATATTACAATTGTGACCTGAGAGATCATGATAGATGCCTCTCTGTCTACTAAGATGAAACCTAGGGTTAAGGAAACAGAAGGTAACTATTGGACAAGGGTTCAAAGCTTGGCTGGCACAGCAATTCCCTAAATTTCTAGAGCTACAAGAAAAACCACACCCTTGCTAAACTCCGTAATAGGAGCTATCAGTCAAATTGTCATTTCATTTCTAACTCTGATTTACAACCAAGGCCACCATAACCCTTATCAGACAGAGAATCGCCTTACAAAACACTTTTCTGATAAGCAATTGTAGGCCTCAAACCAGTTTCAGCCAGTTTATACAGACAGGACATAAACTGTCTTTGTGTCCTGTAGTTCACTTTTTTTATGTGAACTGCCAAATTCCACCTCATTTTAAAGCTAAAGCCCTGCTTCAAAGAGAACATGGGATGTATGTTACATACATGTTTACTCATTGAACATGTGCTTGCCTGTCCCCCATAAATATGTATTGCTTTCCCCACAAACTTGCTGAATATGTCTGACTCTATTTTGAACACAGACCTTATGAGGCACAAAAATCACCCTGCCCTTTACCACTTCTAGGAGAGCACCCTGGGTCCACATCAGAGATGAAGTTTTCCCAGTTATATTATTTTGCTCTGTTTCCTCAGCCAAATTTCATGTTGAATTGCGATTCTGACTGTTGGAGGTGGGGCCTGATGGGAGATGATTAAATCATGGGGGCAGTTTCCCCCTTGCTGTTCTCCTGATACTGAGTGAGTTCTCCTGAGATCTGGTTGTGTAAAAGTATATAACACCTCTCCCTTTACTCTCTCTCCTGCTGCCATGTGAAGACCATGCTTGCTTCCCCTTCACTTTCTGCCATGATTGTAAGTTTTCTCAGGCCTCCCAGCCATGCCTCCTGTAGAGCCTGTGGAACTGTGTGACAATTAAACCTCTTTTCTTTATAAATCACCGAGTCTCAGGTAGTTCTTCATAGCAGTGTGAGAATTGACTAATACACCCAGTTAGCGAACTGATATCACAAATAAACTCTTCTTTCTACTGTTTAGTCTTTTTGGTAGTCTTTTGGATGACATAATCATTTCAAAGTTTGAATTTCAAGCTTTCATTTATTTGTTGAAATAATATGTTTCTTTAGCAAAGGTTAAAAAAATCAGTTTTGATTTATGTCAAAATCATTTTTAATAGTCAAATTGTTTATACTCAAATTGTGACAGAAATATATATGTATGTGTAAATATATGTATGTATATATATGTATTGAATATATGTACATTTATTACACAATTTTTTAAAATTCCATTTTATTTTAACCAAATTTTTATAGACATTATTTAAATAGTAACTGATGTGATGGAAATAGCATTGTATTGATAGACAGATCCATGGAAAATCTATTTGTGGTTTTGCTAAATACTTTTATCCTTCAGTGGTTTACTTGTTTTCTCCTTTGAACTGATAGTAAAGCTTTACTGGATTCCTTATTAAAAGTAAATTAAATAATATCTTTCACACATGTTTGTTTAATATTTTCATAAAGTTATGATGCTATGTTTTATTGAAAATTATAATTATATTTTTAACAGCTTTAAAAATCTTCCACAGATATGCCCAGTGGATTCACCTGATGGTTAGGTAAACTGTCAGAAGAGAAATGCACTTCTTATGGAGTGCTTAAACACAGGTATATATTTATATATTTACATATACATATATTCCTAATTTCTACAAGTAAATTCAAATGACAATAGAATTTTACTATCTTTAAAATCATTTCTCTGCATATTTTCACATTTTCTTTTTGGTTTTGGTTCATAGCCAACAAGTTATTTTCCATCTGTAGCAACAAAGATTAGGAATTTGGTTTCATGGTCTGATCCTTTATTGATATCTAAATAGATGAATGTTTCATAGAGATTCACTCTCTGTTGAATTAGAATCAAATGAGAATCTGTCTTTTCACTTTCTACATAGAGCTCAAAACAAGTAAGAAAGTCAAATCTACTAGGAAGTAGAATAGTTCTTTGACATGAACAGATAATAAAGTGTTATTTACACTTGCCCCAAGTCTAAAATATTACAACTGAAGCTATAAGTTTTCTCTGTGTCTGTATGTCTATGTGTTTGTAATTCACAAAGGCTTTCATTTCTGTTTGAGTATGTAATGATTTTCTACATCCAGAGGATATTAGTTGTAAAGTTTTTTTTCAATTAAAGGAGCACTTTTATAACTGGCTTACAAATTTAATAAACACTCGTATAAGAAGCAACAAATTCTAGCATTTTATGACACTACTTTATTTTTCTATCTATCTCTAACTCTATATCTACAGGTAGTTTAGCTTCCTGAGATTTGAGACTATATTGAACATAACTTACTGTGCTTTTCTTTAAAAAAAGAGAATATTCTCTTTTGTTACCTCAGAAAAGTTACCAAAGTTAGAAAG